>NC_000007.14:121900718-122203748 GCF_000001405.40 Homo sapiens
ACCATAAGGACGTACCTGAAGCCAGAATATGTTTATGTATTCTTTTAATAGGCACTGTAAAAGGCACTGTGATCAGTGTTTGGGATGCAAAATAAAACAATGAAATCTCTACCTTCAAAGTCTAATAATAAGTATGATGACCACTGTTTCTTGTACATGAACGATGTGCCAATCACTGCTGTTTTCCATTTATCATGTAGTTCAACATAACAACCCTGTAAGACTTATTATATCCATTTTACAAATGAAATAAGGCATAGGGAGGTCATATAACTTGTTCAATATCATGTAGCTGCTAAGTAGGTGAGCTTGGATTAGTGTGTCTGAATTCAAAGAAAAAGAATTTTAGTAGTATATGTCCTGATCTATGTACCCCGTTTTCTGTTTCTGATATTTAACACCATGAATGCCCTTAGATTCTGAGTGATTCTTTGTTGAGAATGAAAGTAGTAACAGAGAGCAATGTTATAAAAAGCCCCTTCCATAATTCAAGCAAAAACATTATGCATGCCAGTAATTTCATTTTCGTCTTCACAACCTACTCAAAGTGAGAAAACAGAGCTAAAAATAGGGATGAGGCAATGTTATGTAAAGTTCAGGAAAAATGTAATAAAAGCCAGATTTAGGTAAATATTATTGCAGAAAAGATGTATTTTGTTAAAATGGCCTTAAAATCTTTTCTGTATGTTTGTTTCAAGATATAAAATATAGATCACTTTTTAAAGAAATGATTCAGTGACTATTACACAATTACAGAGTTACCAAAAATGTCTTCACTGTTAGTATATTCTAAAATTTGATGAAGTATTACACAAGTCAAATCAGAATTTATTTATAATTAATCTCTTGATATTTTATTACAGATTAGTGTTTTTAGAATGTAACAATTACTTGGCCTTTGATGCTATTTACTGAAATAATTTTTCTAGGAGTTATTTCATAAACGCCTATCAGAGTGTAGAAGATTATTTTATTATCCTGAATAAAGTTTTATTTTGTTTTTAAATGACACATAACAATTGTACATATTTATGGGCTACAATATGATGTTTCAATACGTATATACGTTGTATAATGATCATATCAGGGTACTTAGCATACCCACCACCTCAAACACTTTTCATTCCTTTGTGGCAAAAACATTAAAAATTCCCTATTCTAGCTAATTTGAAGAATACAATACATTATTGTTGGCTATAGTCACCCTACTGTGCAGTAGAACACCAGGATTTATTTGTCCTATCTGACTGTAACTTTGTACCTGTTGGCCAATCCCTCTCCATTCCCGACTGTCCCCGCTACTCTCACCAGCAGGTAGTCACTCTTCTACTCTCTACTTCTATGAGATCAATGTTTTTAGGTTCCAACATGTAAGTGAGAGCATGTGGCATTTGTCTTTCTGTGCCTGGCTTATTTCACTTAACATAATATCCTCTAGGTTTATCCATGTTGTCACAATCACAGTATTTCATTCTTTTATGGTTGATGTTCTGTGATGTATATATACCACATTTTAAAATTCATTTATCCATTGATGGACACTTAGATTGATTCCATATCTAGGCAACTGTGAATAGTGCTGCAATAATAGGAGTGCAGATATATCTTTGACATATTGATTACATTTCCTTTGGATTACATTTCCTTTGGATATATACCCAGCAGTGCAATGGTTGACACATGTGGTAGTTCTAATTTTAATTTTTTGAGGAACATCATGCTTTCTTCCAAAATGGCTATACTAGTTTACATTCCCATTGACAGGGAATAAGAGTTCTCCTTTCTTTATATCCTCACCAGCATTTGTTATTTTTTGTCTTTTTGATAATAGCCATCCTAACTGAGATGAGATGAAATCTCATTGTGGTTTTGATTTGTATTTCTCTGATAAGTAGTCATGTTAGCATTTTTTTCACTTACCTATCTGCCATTTGTATGTCTTCTTTTGAGAAATATCTATTCAGATCTTTGTCTGTTTTTTAATCAAATGATTATTATTACTATTATTTTTACTGCTGAGTTGTTTGAGTTCCTGAACTTTCTTTTACCTATTACAATCCAGTGTCAAGAAGATAGTGTATTAATTTCTTTGTTTAGTTTATTGATCAATGTTTATTGATAATATCTGCCTTCATGCCTACAATGAAGCAAAACCTTATAATACTGCTTTCTGTATTTCTTCAAGATTCCATAGCCATGCAGTGTAATGTTGAAAAATCAGCAGATTTACTTTTTGATGTAGGAGAAAGAAAAAAAAAATAAACAGAGATAACAGCTGTCTACCACAAATTTCCTATTTTGAAAGTTCTATATATTTGTTTAATATGGAACATTTACATGTCATGCACTGGGCTGACTGCTGGGAATATAGAGGAGAACAAGACTGTCCAGTCCGTTGCTTGCATAGAATACTGCTGTTGCACTTAGTACTAGAGCAATACCAATTATGATAGCATCACTTAATTAAGGTTGGGCAACTGTGTTATTATAGTTAGGTACCATGTAACATTGTGATTTTTAAAATGAATTTATCTCATTTGATAAAAATGCATATTTTTTTCTGGCAGGTATGAATTTGCTAGAAATTCTCTAGTTAGACTGTATCAACTACAGTATCATTTATTCACTTAAAAAGCTGTTGTCATGTTCATTATTTGTACAATGAAAAAATGGGAGAGATGCATTTTATTGCAGGCTTCTACTGTTGGTAAAGCACTAGATTTTTCCACTTTGAATTGTTCAAAATTATTAGTTTATCAAACAAATTGAAAGAAAAGCCAGGGTTCTGTTGCTAACTTTTGAATGAAATTTTAAGCATTAAGGCACATCAAATCAATGGAATATAAATATGAAGATTTTTATTTTTTACCCAGCCATTGTATCCAACCAGGCTAGGGTGAATTCTACTTTTCTATCCTGCAATGGCATTCTTTGTGCTTTCGGCTCACTTTGGTTTTTAAAAGTCCATTTCTTTCTAAAAGATTAATCTCCAGGTCAATTCAAACTTCACCTTTTACTCATCCCTTAGCTCGAGTCCTAAAGCAAGAAGAAGAGAGTTAATCCTAGTAAGCCTCTTATTGTTGCTCATTTTTTGGTTGAGAAATGAAGAAAGATATGGCACATAGTATACATTCTCTAAATATCAAATGAAAGCATGAATGAACAAAATAGCAGAATAAATTAAATTCAGTGATTTGCTAAAAGTTAATCTGAAATGTATGCAGGATTCTGTTCCAGTCTTTAAATCTCACACACACACACACACACACACACACACACACAATAGTAGGTGTTTAGACGATAATAAAATTTGAACAAAAAGTTCAAATTACAGTGGAAGACTGCCTTTGAATATAAGTTACTTTTTTTCTGTGTTAGTCTGTGAAATAAGTAAGTATTGAAACCTTCCCTGATAGATCTCCAAATAATTTCCCATTCTGGTTGGTTGGACATGTGCTTAGCAAGAGTGCATGCACCTCCAGTTCCTCCAAGTAGGGGAAAACAGAATGGGGAGACAAGGGAGATTGAGCCGTTTTTCAAGTATCTCACTCAGGAGGCTGGCTGCCAATCAAGGACACCCCAGAAGGAAGACAGTGAAGGGCACATCACTGGTGAGGAGGACTAAGATGGATCGCAGATGGCAGCCTGGAACCAGGCCTCCCATATCAGGGAGCTGTGCAGTGGGGGTGCTCACAGCCTCACTCAAAGAAAGCAGACATAGGCCCCCAAAGATATTCACCTTGTGGACCAGAATCTTCCTGTTCTGGTTTCATGTTCTTAAATGATCATAATTACTATAACAATTATTTTGAGTTTTTAATTTTTGATCTTTTTTGTTTTAACACAGTAAGTAATCTCAACATTTTTTGCCATATTCATGAAGCAGGAAATGTACTTTAATTCCTTATTTATAAAAATGTTATGGACCTTATAATCAGAAGAGACTCAGATGGTCTTATTTAGTAAGATTTGAAAGGATAGATTCCGGGGTTTCTAGAATTTAAATAATAACTTCTGTTGTTACTTCTGTAGTTTCCAGAGTTTTATTGTTTGGTTCCAAAAAATAAGGAGAACTTGACTTAGCATAGAAAACATAACCTTTCATGTCAGCTCTACTTTAATAAATGCAAGCACAATTTTGTTCAGCTACCTAGAAAAATAATGATATTAGGTAATCTACAATCTTTTAGCTTTTACATGAACCTAAGAATTAAAGCTGGGTCTTTAACTTGAGTTTGGTAGATTTAAAGTAATTACGTTTTTGCTGTCTACGAAAGTTGTTTAGTTAAAGATATTGTAAATGAACTATAATTATGTAGATTTACGTCTGCTTTTAAAACACTTGTGCTCTTTCACTGATTTGAACCTTCGTATATGCTTTCATATTTATTTTGCCAAAGAAACTATAGATAATTTGATTCCATAGCAGGATGTTGAGGAAGACTTTTTCTCTTGCCTTGGAATCACTGCTATTGGTCCTTGGGAGAACACAATGATGTCTAAGAATTCCATGTTTTATAGCAAACCACCAACCATAGTAAAAGGTAGCACCTTTTCCAGGTCTTACTAAAAGAACAGATCCTACTACTGTCAACTTTTACCCCAGCATCCCTCACACCTCTCCCTAGGCCTTATGAGAAGAGTCGTGGACAAAGGAGACGAGGAGAGTCATCAAGGACAGCTGCTTCACACAATGCTTTGGTAAAGGGTCTTGTCCCCAGTTTCCCACTTCAGCTTCAACAAGGCCATGCAGATATGAAATTGGAGCATGAGCATGAGAATCATTCAGAAAGATCTAAAATATCTGCAACAAGTGGAAATTGACATCTATAGGGAGATTCAAATCTAAGATTTTGTTGAAAGTTAATCTGAAGTACATGTAACACTTAACAGTGATTTCTGCACCCGGCCGAATTCTGGGTTCTATTCTTTACACACACACACACACACACACACACAAATGGTGGGCATCTGTGCTTTAAAGGTGAAAGAAAAAGAAGGGTCTGTGATATAAATTCAAATTTAGACCTGCTGTAAAAATACAGTATCTTTTCTGTATGGTTGGGCCGCAAGTAAATCTGGAAGCATTTTTTTGATAGATCACCTGGTCATTTTACCACTTGCTCTTTCTTTTACAGTTTTGCTCAATCACCCTGTTGGTATCCCTTTCCTGGGTTTTTGGCATAATTTACAAGAGGCACTGATGATAGTGAGTACAAGTAGGTTTATTTCTATTTCAACTGCCTCCACTAAACAAAGGGCAAAAAAACCTTGACTGCATGAGAGATTGCTTCTCAAATAAAAGCTGTGGTTTTCTGTGTATATGGTAATACTCTTACCTTCCCTGTAATGTTTCAGTGGTACTTTTTTTCTAGGAAACTGGAGAACTTAATTTTATACAGGAATCTCTGGTCTTAGAACTTAGCCTAGTGGTAACAGTTTTAAAAGGTCTCTACCTCCATTTAAAGGAAGCAATTATTCCAAAAGCACAGGATCTCTGGTTGACTAAAGACTGTATCAAGGATGAAAGATTATGTCTGGAATATTTCCTGCCTTATGAACTTTTGTGTTCAAAATATAAATTTTAGATTTAAGGAGGCATGTGGGTGTGTATTGCTCACTCTCTGATATACAACATGGTTATTTTATGTTTGGTAGTAGTAGTTAAAATAAAACTATATTAATTGCCTTCTTACTAATGTACTAAAGGCTAAATGAAAGAAATTTTTCATCAAATGTTATAAATTTTGTTTGATTGTATCAATTTGAGATACGGTTCAGTATTTTAGAACCAATGTCTTAAGGTAGGCTTCCATAGTTGCAATTAAGCTTCATAAGAAATATAATTAAGTTGAAGCTTGGCATTGTTTGGTAGGTGTCTGGCTGGCACCACGTTTTCCAAAAATAAGATTTGTTTGAAGGGGCTTGGGTTTTTCCCTTAATTTCAAGGTTATGTCTTGGATGGGGCTTGGGAAAGGGCAGTGGGTTCTGACTACACGTCAAAGATGTTAAAGACATTCACTGGCTTGACATCATGTGGACAGTGGCTTGCTTATTCTTCGTTTCCTAGTATCAATTAAAATAATAAATGGTCAGGTTTTGCTCACACTATTTTTAAAATGAAGTTTATGATCCATAATTTTGTGAAATAAACTTGAGTTGTATTCAGTACACATATGGAATAGTAAGTTATTACATTTTAAAGATGACAGTGATGTAATGGTATACTTATATATTATGTTTGCAGATAGATTTTTCACAGAACAAGATTCCTCGGTTTTAATTCTACAATGTGATATTGGAATTAAAAACAAGTCTCTTATGTGTGAATATTTTATCTCTATTTGTTATTATCAAAATAAACACTATTCATAGAGTTCAATTTCATCAATAATTAATAATGTGACTAATGCATGATAAAAAGAATAAGTTAAATTATGTTTTTTGCTTACAAATATCACATTAATTGAATAACTGGAGTAATATTATGCTGCTTTTATTAAATATGTAGTGACAAGTCTAGAAAATAAACTGATTGGCACATTTGTTAAAATCCATGTTAGTTTTCCTGAAGAACTACACACCCTAATAAATAACTTACTTATGTTCAAAATGAATTAAATGTGGCAAATAATTCCAAGACATTTATTTTACCTAATTATATGTGGTTGAACAACTAGGAACAAATATTTTACAAGTGAAAACCATAAGACACATTTTTTTAGGACATATGTATATACTAATGCTTTTTACCATTTATTATTTGCTGATAGTCCAGGACCATATATTAAAGAGTGATTTCAGTATCCATCTAAATTTTCATATGGTTTCATTTAATCATAGGATTAAGAGAATATTTTAAATGATTAGAAAATATCCTCAATTTTTTCAAGGTTTAGAGTATTTATATTTATACGTTAAAATCTTTGGAAAGGCCTAAACTCAGGGTGTTTTGAAATTATGTAAATTAATATATTTAGGATCTAATTTATTTTATATCTACATTAGCTTTTCCATGTATAAGTTTCACAAATAAATAAACTTCACAAATAAAATTAATAAAAGCTAATTAAAAATATCAAACACCTTTCTTTTTCAAATGTGTAATTTAATGAGATTCTGAATTACCTTGATTATTTCTAAAAGTTACTATTTTTTCAAATGAAAATAAAACTTAGCCACCATTTGAAGGCTATATGCTCTTAGCTTAAACTGATACACTTGCAAATATAGCTATCCAACTGCAAAATAATAATCAAATTTAGATATTCAGACTCTGAGTAGAGAATGGAAGAAGTTGTTTGGCTGATGTGAAAATTGAACCAATGATTTTAATTTTGAACATACTAAGCTCTAACCAAATGTGTCAAGTGTTGCCAAATAAATATAGAGGAAGAGGATACCATGTTTTATATTAAGAAGGGTTAATCATTTGTCTGTAGAATAATTTCTCTTCAAGGTGCCAGTGAAATGTATTAGTGATGGTTAGTTAACTATAACCTGACCACATAGTTACCTTATATGGTCAGGTTATACAACAGGTCACCTGTTGTCAACTCCATATCTTTCTAGTTCCACCACTCCTGTAGCAGCTATATGCATTGTAAGTAGCAGATTTTATAAAATGTGTAGATCAATCCCTTTGGAAAAGAATATCAACTATACATCATCTGTATTTCTTAATTTTATCCTATTTTTTCTCTTTCTTTTAAGAATACTAATGTATCCAACTTTTATATTCCTTTTTGTTTGTGTTATATTTTAGTTTCTGCATAAGATTTGTTTTTTACCTAGCCTTTCTAATGGGGTTTCAGATGTTCATACTCCAGTCTTACAGGTCCTCTCCTCTAGAATGGTATCTTTTACGTCTGTAATGTTCTCTTTATTTCCATTACCCTTTAATTACAAGTAACCATACTTCAAGTAAGCAGCTTTTAAAAATTAAAAACTTGAATAAATTGCTATTCAAAATGGGTTATTGAATAATTTTAATCTAAAAATGTTTTCAATAAGTACATTTCAGGCTAGAATAACATTACTAATGACACTTTATTAATAGTGCTACTCATCTTTCTGGGATAAATGTGAGATACTCTTGGATAAGGAATGGGAAAGTCCAAATATAGTTTTGTATATGGAAATATATATAAAATATATAGTGTGGAATTTTTTATTGAATATTCATTGGTGCCTGAATATCTCATGGGAATTCATTTAGGATTTGCAGAATATTTAGCAGACATGTTAGACTTTAGTATTGTCACATTTTGGATTATTTCTGATTATTCGATGTATTAGATATATGTGCTAATGTAATTTTGGAATCAATTTGCTTGCTCTCTTCTACCTTCAAATTAAACTTAAAATTAGAGTATAATGGCACAACACAATACATGCCTTAAAAAACTGGAGGACAAAGTTATTTTTAGCCTAGAATTGTGAAGATAGAACAAGACAATCTAAAAACTTTTATCTTGTGACTCTTTTTTCAGAAGCTGCTGGAGTATATGCTCCAGTGCTCACCAAAATAAGGGAATAAACCAATAAAGGGGATTCATGGGATTCAGGAAACCAGAGTTGCAGCCAGTGAAACAGCAATCAAAATGACCTGAGCACACAAGCTAGGCAGAGCCTGCTGCCCTCAGTCCAACTGGAACGAGTTCCAGTCCAACTGGAATGAGAGGATTTCGGGGAGGAAAGTGGAAATTCTATATTACTTATTCATTGACTGCATCAGACAATATATTAATCCATATGTGTTTTGAAAATCTAGAAGTGTTTTACAGATTTGGAGAAAATTAGCAATTGGTCCTGAGAAAATAATCAAATTTAAAAGACCTTAATTAACTGCAAGAAAAAGTCGAGTAGAAAGTATAATCATAATACACTACTTTGCTCAACAGTCATGAATATTTACATAATGATAACGTTGAATACCTCTAAAATATGATATTTATACTCTAGGTTTGGAGAGAATAGAACTATTTAAGTTAGCATAAATACTTATACATGAAAGTAAAAAGGTAATATATAGTATCTAAAATTTAGAAGTCAAAAATTACAATAAGAGTATGTTATCTGAAAATATGGAGTTAAATTACAGAAGAGATAGCTGAAAGAATTGAAAATGTGACCTGTGGGACACTGGACTGGAGAGGTGGAGTGAAATGAAGCAGGGTACAGCTGCTTTCCATTATGAGTCTGGCAGTAGTCCTTGAAGTTTTAAACTACATGCATGTCTAACAAAAAAGTAAATATTTTTAAAAGGGCAAAAAATACTGTGATAACTCTTGACAGTTTGCAATGTAGAAAAGAATGGAAGAGGCTGTCTTCATCTTTTGAAGCTCATTTCCTGGTAATCTCCCCTGCCTGCTCTCAGCTTCAGCCATTCTGGCCTTTTTGCTGTTTTTCCAACACATGGGGCTTGGTCTTGTCTTAGGAACTCTGCGCCTGTGCCAGCACTGCTCTTCCCTCAGGTGTCTGCAGACTTCTTCGCTGATCTCTTTCAAGGCTTTGCTTGAATGTCACTTCTCAGCAAGGTTCCCCTTGACCACTCAGTCTAAAATTGCACCTGCTCATGCATCTGCCTTATTCCGCTCTAATGCTTTTCTCCATAGTGTTTATCACCTTCTTAAATACTGCATGATTAAGTCATTTATTATGGTTTTTGTTAACTTTCTATCTCCCCTTGCTACAATGTGAACTACACAAGGACAACATGTTTGTGGTTTGGATGGCTGGGGGGTCCACCAGTGCATCTCAAGTGCCTATATATATATATGAAACATATATATGGAACACTTTTTATTTTAATGAGCTATTCAGTATTTCAGTAAGCTATTAAATGGTGCTTGGCATACAGTATGTAATCAGTATATATTAGTTGAAGGTATCAATTAACTAAATGAAGAAAGAAAAGACTAAAAAAGGAAGGGAAGAAAAAAGAGAAGGTGGGACAAAACAAGGGACACAAGTTAGGAGGCAAATGCATTATTTCATAAGATGGTGGTGGTTTGAGTTTGGGTAGAGGCACGATAAATGGAGAGAAGTGAATGAATTTGAAATAGGCTTGAACATAAATTTGGCATTATAATGAAAAATATGATTATTTCTAAAACCAATGTTTCATCTGTTTTATAAGCAGGAAATACCTGAAAATAAGGAATGTCAAGATTCTAGTATATGTTATTAGAAGTGAATGGCATTCATAGTCATGGAAAATAAAGTTAAATTATTAAATGCTATTTAAAGCCACAGAAGTTCTAGACATCGAATAAAAATAAGAATGATACAATAACTTAGCTAATGACAACAATAAAAGCTTTTGTAGAGTTTTCCTACAAGTTTTACAGTTTAGCTTGCCTGTAAGTTACAAATACGAGGATTTTTGTGCTTTGAACTATAAAAGCTCATACCTAAGAGTAATGAAAGGTTTAATATTGTACTTATTTAATAGTGCTTTCTTCTATTAAAAACATAGTATTCTATTCTTATTTATAATTTTATGGAAACCAATTTCACTAACATTTATAAAGTTTGATTTGAAAATAAATTATATTTCTTAATAATTATATGCACAGTTATGACCTGCATGGATTTAAGCTTTCGCATAATTTAAAAATCCATATCTTCATTTTGACTGTATATTTGAAAATACTGATGACAGAGTAATCTGATTGCACTGTAACTGGCCATTTTTGTGAAATAAAGTCCTTTTTTCTTGTCTCAGTAGTCATAACTAGTTACGTGTATATTGTGGTTTTCTTCCATATAAATGTTTCTAGATTGCGTACATTTAAAATAACTTTTCATGTCTAATTCTGATGCACATCTTTAGCAAATATGAACAGCAACCTTGCCACTGTCTCTGATTCTTAACTTCTTCCTTCTCTTATCCTTTCCTTATCTTATCTTCTTTCCTTTTCTTATCCTTTCAGAGCCTCTTCCTTTTCTGAAACTTAGATGGGAGATAGGAAGGTATGGTTGTAAAAGCATTACATCTGTCATATGATCTATCACATATCATATAAGAAAATGCATTATATTTTGGAAACTTTAATTTTATACACATATATATGAAATATGTTCATATGAAATACATTTCACTTTATTAAGCTATTCAATATCTCAATAAGCTATTCAATATTACAGGCACCTAGATAACTAAAGGTCAGTCATTACATTTATTTCAGTGTAAGAACTTAACGGGGAAAAATTTAAGTTCTGTTAATGAGTTTCTAATAAAAGTAGACCTGTTTTGAAAACAGAAGTGTCTGTTTCCTTGTTATATTTGAAATAAAAAATTATGATGAAGCATTTTCCAGTGTATGAAACTAAGATTCTTTTATCCATAAGGGACTAATGTGTAGTTGAAGATGTCCGTAATTGAACAGCAGGAAGTATTAGATAAATTCAAGAAAGCCCAGTAAATCCTAGAGGGAATTAGAAATAAAGTTCATATATTTATTGTTAACTGCAACCATTTTATATGAAAATTATAACAAGGCAAAGCTTACATTTCATTATCAATATAGTGTCCCTATCCACTGTTCTTTGATAGCAGTCAAGTATGGGAAACAATATAAGAGATGGTTATGAAGTTGATAACGTGTTTAGCACTGGTTTGTACTCATTCTGTATCCAGGAATCTCTTTTTATTCATTGTGTTAAATATTCATGAGCACTTACTCTGTGTCTGATACTATGATGTAGAGGATCGAAGAGTGTACTAGTTTCTGCTCTTAAAGTAATCCATAGGCAGAAGAGAGACATACAGGTGTATGTTCATTGAAATATGACAGCTACCATTTGAAAAATGCATGGAAATATAGATGCTTAGTGCATTTGGTAAAGAAGCGGGTGAGACTAAGGGAAGGGGAATTTTTAGGGTAGCAGTGCTTAAGTATGTTACAGGGGCTTAAAAGAACAGTTCAGTGAAGGAGAGATTGAAGTCCAGAAAATCCTGGAGAAGGTAGGAGGATGGGAAAAGAGTGGTGGCATCTGTCTCTATGAGATACAATGAGAAAGACGATGATGAAAATAGAACTTAGTTAAAAGGTGAAGAGGAGGGAACTTGCAAAATTTCCCGTTTTCTGTTTTCTTGGTGAGAACAGAATGTTCAGTCTGCTCCTGATCATAAAAGGAAGGATTTAGCAGTCACTGATCTGAAAAAGGTTGGGGAACAGAGACGGGTAAATGAATTATGGGTGTCAGGGAACATTCCTCTAAGATTATAAATCCTAAATTTGTCATTTATTCATGTAATGAATATTTACAGAGCACGTTTGCCTAGGTTAGGTGTTGAATATGCAGCAGGGAGCAAGATAGGCACATTTTGAATTCTTAAGCAGTTCATGCCTTCATGACACAGTAAACAAATATTAAAAAATTATTACTCAATTATAATTGTGAGAAAGACCGTAAAAGTTAAAGAAATGGTATTAAGATACCATATGATGCATGAGAAGGCTTGGGATTGGGTGAGGAGGCAGAGAAAGGAGAAAGTAGAGATACCCAGTTGGAGAAATGGCTGAGCAAAGGCCCTGAGACCAGGTGCTTGAGGGAGGCAAGGCTTCCCACTCAGTGTGCTCTGGTGCCACTCGTGAATTACACGTGTGTCAAATATTCATCCGCTCAGCTCTTATGTGTTATTCCAAGGCACAAAGAACATTATCACTTTCTAACTGAGCCATAATATGAAATAGTTTGAGAAGCTTTGCATTAGGGGAAGTGACCTCAGAAAGTTTTCATCTGTAGCACCAGCAAGGTGCATGGAATAAATAAAATATCTGGATGTTTTATTAATTTGGCCCTTCTTGTGTGTTTATAGTCATTGAATTAATTGGTTTATTCAGCAAATAGGTAGTTGATAAAATGACACTGCATTTAACCTGGCTAGTTTTATAAATATTACAAATTGACACAGAGACGGTCCACAATATGGAAGTTTATCTTGGGGTTTTTTATGAAAAGATTTAAAAAATTATCTTACCTTAGCAGGTATGGGGGAAAGTTTTCTCTCATTTCTTTTCCATTGAGTATTGTCAGTAAAATAGAATAAGATTGAGTGAAATTTCAAATTATTTAATGTTCAACCAAAAGAATTCTCAACTTATTCACACATATATATTAAGTAAAGAATTCAGAAAATCATTAATAAAGTTCAGACAAAAACCGTCTAACCTAATTCCCGGGAAAAAAACTGGAACTCTGCCTAGAATTATCCAGCTACACAGTCTGTATTCATTTTTTAATTGCATACCTTATCCTTTTTATCTCTGTGTATAGCACCTATTTAAAAGAAACAGAAACCTGGCCTGGTGTGGTGGCTCATGCCTCTGATCCCAGCACTTTTGGAGGCCGAGGCGAGCAGATCCCTTGAACCCAGGAGTTCAAGAGCAGCCTGGGCAACATGGTGAAACCCTGTCTCTAAATAAATATGTAAAAGAAAGAAACAGAAACCAGACATTTCTGTTTTTAGCTGTGGGTTGCTACACCTCTGTGAAATCATAGGTGTTTACCACTGTCTTAAATCACTGGTTTATGATTACTTGATATTTTCTGGATTTTTAAAACATTACTTCTTTTTTTAAGTGGTGTAGAAGTAACGTTTTAGCATACTATAAATTTCTGGTAATAATTTGTATTACAAAGGTGCATATTGTTTAAGGTCCCAAGTAAGCTTTATGTATAGAAAAGGTTCCTCTGCTCTTTCTTTTTGTCCTCAAACGTAAACTTCTGGAGACCTGGAGAGAATGAAAGGCGTCCGAGTGTGTGTCCATGGCAATCCGCTAGCTGTGTGGAGGAAGTTACAGTGGCATTAAGCCATGAAAAGGATCAATTGTTTTTGTGAAAAATCCTTGGGACGTGCCTTGAATTTAAAGAATCAAGTTCATTAAAATCATAAATCATCTATTAATCTTATTTTGTTGAAATATCCTTGGTGGTCCATGGTATTTTAAAGACCAAAATTGTAAAAAATGTAGTTAAAGTAACAACATAATGGGATTGTTGAGGACCGTGAAATAATATCCTCAATGCCTTTTCTTCTTGAGGGTTTTTACTGGATACTTGCTCTACCTATACCTCTCCTAACTACAGAACTGAACATGATGTGAGATGTGTAACTTTCATTTATTCACTCATGTGCCAGGCACCATGCTGACATTACATGTGAAAAGTTTCCAAGGTTTTCTTGTTACGTCTACAATTACTGCTAAGTTTCCCGTAAGTAATTTGGGGGACTGGAAACGAGGGCAAAATTACATGAAGGGCTTAGAAAACTGCATCAATTCTTTTTGGATGTGTCAGGGAGATGGGGGTAGTCTTTCTCCCTGCTAATCAAGACCCACTAGAGCACCGCCGTATACTGCACACATACTTCTGAATGACAGGAGCTTTGTGTGAGATGAGAAAGCTGTGTCAGGCTGATGGTATTATCATGATTCCTTGGAATGGATCACCATCCCAAATCACCAGACACTCCCTGATCAGGAGGGAACAGCACATTCTCCAGCTACTGTATTATTTGGGAGGTTCAGGTAGGAAGTGAGTGCATAGCCTCAAGGGGTCTGGTGGAGGTCCTCTTGGGAAATGCAGAACTTCTTTGCCTACTAATGCCCCTTGCTCTGAGACCGGAGAGGCTTCTGGGAATTTTATCCTCACAAGAAACATTCATTTCATTTAAATAGTATGTGAAGCAAGACATTTAAGTTAGTTAGAGGTGCATATCATTTAAAATGGCAGGAGATGACAGTTTCTGCAAGCCATTTCTGAAGTTAAAAAACAAGGTAGTTTAAAATAAATTGTATTTCAGCAGTCACTATTTTCTTAATTTACCAATGAACTTGAATGACATATTAAAGAACTTTAGGCATTATACTCTGGTTTGTGATCCGCTTGAACACAAAATGCATATTATGTGATCTTATTTCCAAGGTTAAATCAGTGTATCCTTGGCTAGATCTATAATAGCTTATCAGATAAACATCTTCTGTCAAAATAATATTTGCCATTAATGAAATTAATGGCAGAAGTATAAACTTCAGAAAGATATGATCACTTAGATGCTAAAAAATCTATTAAGGAAAACAGGTTACATTTCAATATCTTTGTCTTTGTGTTCTATGATATGTAAATTCCAAGGTGTAAATCCTTTCATAAAAACATTTTTTTCTTTTTCCTAGACTTAGAGAGAAACATTGACTTGCCCACAGAGCTAGCTCCTTTGATGTGCAATAATGCTACCTGTGGTCTGTTTTAAGATGCTCTTTTTTGGCCAGGCGCAGTGGCTCATGCCTGTAATCCCAGCACTTTGGGAGGCCGAGGCGGGCAGATCATGAAGTCAAGAGATTGAGACCATCCTGGCCAACATGGTAAAACCCCGTCTCTACTAAAAATACAAAAATTAACTGGGCGTCATGGTGTGCGCCTATAATCCCAGCTACTTGGAAATCCGAGGCAGGAGAATCACTTGAACCTGGGAGCCGGAGGTTGCAGTGAGCCGAGATCGTGCCACTGCACTCCTGACTGGCGACAGAGTGGGACTCCATCTCAAAAAAAAAAAAAAAAAAGTTCATTTTTATTTAACCGTTACCATTATCACATTAGACAGTGCAGGAGTATGTTAATTATCTCTAGGTGTCCCAGTGGCCTAGTAAGTCCAGGGCAAAATGCCAGCAGAGTCCTGGCCAAAAACACTACATTAACTTGTTCAGTCTCTTGACATCCTCACAAACAGAACAGTAAACCTGGAGAGAAAACATGTTTGTTCCAAATGAGTTAACTATTCCAAAATAAATAATATCTAACCCCTGGCCAAGAATTTGTAATTGTGTATAAAAAGTAACTAATGGGATGTATTCTCCAAGACTATTAATTATGTACTGAACAGGAATGCTTTTTAAATGTTGTTCCTCTGAGTGCAATAAACCTGTGTAATCTAGGCTACCTAATGAGCATCTTTGAGCATCTGCCACTGCAGAGTACATTCAAATTTCAGGCAAAATTTGGGAAATGCTGTTGCAGCAGTGGCCCAGTAAGACCCAGTGCTGTCATTGGTCAAGATAGGTCACCAATTACAAGACTTGAAGATAAGCATGTTGTGATTGGTGGTTGAAGTGAATCCCCTCTCCTTAAGGCCTCACTTTGGGGATTCACAGAATGGGCATTGTGGAGGCCCCAAGTTCCATGGAGAATGCAACTATTAAATTGAGAAAGAAAAGAAAGTACAAGTGAGATGTTAGGCAAAGAGTAGAGGCATGAGATGGGGACTAAAAGTATCCAGCAGAGGAATGTGAAGCCACTAAAATGATTCTGCTAGCCAGCTAGACCGTACTTAAGCTGTACTAATTGAGACAATAGGATTTGCACAGTTTCCGCTCACTTCAAATAAACTGTACAATACAAGGAAATAAAATGATAACTAGTAATTATCACTTCATAGTCTACTGGCAATGAAAGATTTTTATGTACCGATAAAGCAGTAGATGTAATCTTTTTTGTACAGTTATGAGCAAAATCAGTGATGAATATAGCTAGGTGCTCGTTAACAATGAAAAGCCTACTAATTAGAGATGTCATCAAAGTGTTTAATTTTTTTAAATTGCTAGTGGGGAAATGGTTCACCCTTGAATATCAGGATTTGTATTTTCAATGTGCAGTGAGTGTCCATACTTACCCTTAAAACTAAAGAGCACTTCAGACTAAGAATCAGATAGCATCAGAAAACAAGTGAATAATTTATGACCAAAAAAACATGCAGGGCACATTAGATAAATGTCACATTGCTGTTGCATTTAAAACGAAATTGCTTCACTATTGAAAGAAAAAACCCAAATGCCTGAAAAATAAAATTCAGGAAATGATAATTGTCGTTATAAGCACATTTTTTACAAAGAGTTCAAAATGGTTTTACACATGCCCTATCTCTTGTTACGGTATTATTGTAAGTAAACAGGAGTTTACTTACAGTAAAAATATATATCCCTATTTTTAAATTGTGGAAATACAAGCAAAGAGATGTGACTTGTCCAAGGTCATCACTTAAAGGCAGAATGTAAGATTCCGATCTTAAAAATAAAGTGAAAAGAGGCATAAAAAAATATGTGTTTATAGTTAAAATTAGTCAGATCTCCCTTGCTCATCCTGGTTTCT
Organism: Homo sapiens; assembly: GCF_000001405.40. NCBI lineage: Eukaryota > Metazoa > Chordata > Mammalia > Primates > Hominidae > Homo > Homo sapiens. The sequence continues at coordinate 121,917,873 of NC_000007.14, forward strand.
TTTTGTAATATTGCCCAAGCTTAAGTAGTTTTAATGAGCAATAGCAAGTGGCTTATAAAAGATACTGGCAAATTGAAAATGTCTTAAATCATTGAAGATCCATTGAAAAATTATCAATTTATTATAGTAAATGTGCTTCTTGGGAATAAAGGTTTCTTATTTCTAGACCGGCTAAAAAAAAAAAAAAAAGGAATTCATGCCAAAAATGAATTTTCAGTCAATATACTGGGAAAGGAGTCAAGAAACTCTGCCTTGTCCAGACATAAGTGCACAGTGAATCAGTCAGCATCCTGACAGCAACTTAACATGACCCGCACCTATTTTAGAACAGGTTGTTAACACATAAAGCTGCCAGATTGTCCTGCTTAATGGATAGACAGTGACATTTGGGTTTAATTTTATCTAAGCAAAATGTGCTGTTTTAGAAATAAGATAAAAATTAAAATAAGACTATTTCAAGGTTTACCCACAAAATGCAGACCCAGTGCATCTGATCATCATGGCCAATAAGATGATCTGTGAGTTTGTTGCGTTTCCTGTTTTGCTATGGTTCTTGTTTTTCATTATCTTGGTAGCTGAAGTACTTAACTTGCCTACTATGTGTCAACTTGGCTATTATTTCATAAGCTTAACTTTAAAATGCTGTTAATGCTGCATCTATCATGCAGTCTCTTGGAAGAAGATTTTAAAATGGATTTCAAATGTTTCTTTACAGTCTTAAAACATATTTACAATCTATCTTTAATTTATCTAGTTGTAGAATCAGATACATTCTTTCAGACATTCTTTAAAGTGCATAGACACTTTAAATTTTTTGAATATTTAACAAAAACTCATCAAATATTTGGAAAACCTGAAAACATATGAAAAAATAAAAATCACTCCCAATGGCACCACATAAATTTACATTTCTGTATATATGTACTATTTATAAAATAGTATCATAACTGTTGATATTTTATATCATGTATATTTCAAAAAAAATCAATAAATATATTTGAAAATATACTTATAATGGCTTCACGTCATTTCATATTAGGAACCTTATATAATTTATTTAAACTTCCCCACTTTTTGTATATTAACATATTTTATAGTTATTCAACATTTTTTCAATGTTGTAAACATCTTGGTACATCATGTTAATCTCTGTTAATCTTTTAAAATATGTTCTTTGGAATAGAATTATTGTGTCCAAGATATGAAGAGTTTTAAGGATCTTGATAACCCTTGTCAACTCACTTCCCAGAAAGTTTATAGTAGTTCATTCTTCTACCTGTATATAAAGAAACATATCAAGATTTCTGGATCATCATTGAATATTTAAAAAGTAATAATAAACCTTTGACAACTGGTTAGCTGGAAAACTGCTATCTTCACATTATTTTAGTTTCTGTTTCTTTGACACCAGTAAAGTCTCACAGTTCTTTATAAATTTATTAATTGTATTTGCATTCTTAAAACTTCTGTGCTCATATTTTGCCCTTATTGATTTGTGATAATTTTGTATGTGTGGAATATATTGTAATATTTGTTTAATGTATTTTAACATTTATCAATAGCTTAATTTTACAATTTGTATTTCATTATACATTTCTCTATACAAGTTTTAAATGCTATATAATCAAAGCTATAAATGTTTCTTCATAATATCCTTTTCTTCATACATAGAAATGCATCCCCCATCTTATGATTAATTTAATGTTCACTTTGTAAATAGTTTTTATGCATCTTTTTAAAAACATTCTTTATTCCACTTGTAATTTATTTTTATGTATGTGTCAAGTACAATTTAATTTTTTTCACAAATAGTGTTCCCAACCTTTGAACCTTCATACTTTTCCTTATCTAATTGTGATGTTTCCTTTAACATATATTAAATTTGCATCTATAGTAGGTTCTATGTTAGTGCTGTTTGCTTTTTTCTATTGATCTGTCTATCAATTCATTTTTTTAGTAATTGATTAACCAAGCCTTTATTAATTCACACTTCTTCTAAATGTTCTAGTCAATTTTTACTCTCCATTTATTATTCTATATAAATTTTCAAAAAAATTCTCCAGTTAGAAACATCCCAGTGAGATTTGACCTATTCATTAATATGGAAAAAAAAATCACAACTTCCCCAAATTCACTGTTTCCATTGAAGAATGTAGTAGATCTCTTCATTTATTCACATTTTCTTTTATATTAAAAATAGTTCATATCTTTGTTCCTTTATGAACTTGCTTGGTGTTTTGTGCTTTTCACGGTAAATGTGAATGGAATCCCATTGTATCCTCTAATTGGTTATTTGAGTGTGCCAGTTGTCCAGAACTTCCTGAGTGACCCCAATCAGAAAGGGGCACAGCAGATGTTCTTGCTCTGCGTCAGCTTTCAGTGAAAGTACGTGGGCATAAGATTTCAAAACAGCAATCTTATCATTGCTAAATAATACTATTATGGTAAGATAAGTTAGTAGCATATAATAACATAATACATAAATATAATAACACATTATTTTTGTCATTTGATGAATTGTGTTTGCTACTCCCTTTTATATACTTTTTCTTACACAGATTGGGTTTTCTTCTCACTTCTAATATTATTTTTAGCTCGTTCCTTTAATTGTTATTTGTATATACGTTGATATTTTTGTCTCTGTTCCTATTATCACTGAGCAGTCAACATTGGGTTTTTCTCTTATGATGGAACAAATTCACTGTTATAGACATAAAACTAGGTAACTATAATGATTGTAGTACAATAACAATGAGTTTGTGCTTAGTGTTTTGTTGAAATTATAGAAGGTTGACAGGAAAAAAATGTGGTACTTCATCCACAGATTTTATTTTATACCTGAAGCTCAAGTAAAGCTAGTTTAATAGAAGCTATCCTCATGCATATCGTTTAAGCTCAAGAAATAAATCTTCTGACATTGTCAACTTTTAATTTTAGCACCCAAAAAGTAGAGAATGCTTTAAGTGAACTGTTATGATGCTGTAAAATAATATTTATTAAATTGAGAATATGTCAGTGATTCATTATCATGTAAAGAAATAGGTTACCAAACAGTGTCATTGAATTTAAGTAAAGTCCAAATTTATTATATATAAATATATAACATCTAGAGAAACATACATGCATGGGCAAAACTGTTAATAGCAGTTATTTGTAGGGCATAGGATTACAAGTGATTTTTAAAGTATTTTTGCCTACCTGTATTTTTTCTAATTTATTTGAAATAGGCATGCATTATTATGTCATAAAGATCAAAATTATTAATATGTTTTAACAAAAAATAACTCAACTTTAGAAAGATAGATAAATTACATTAGCTTAAATGCATCTAAGTATAGGAAAATATACTAACTACTTATCAAGATTAGCCTGTGAATATTTTGAGCTTTCATTGAAAAGTTTGAATAGTAAACAAATTACCAACATAGAAATTCTCTCTCTGAAAGCATGTCCAGTGTCTAAGAAACATAAAATCTAATTGCTCACCTTTGAGACTCTCCTTGGTCCTGTGAGACATATGCATTTAATTGGATGTCTCACTACCAAAATAAGCATATGTAAGAAATGACTCCCTTTGTTCTTTTCCATTATCCTTATGTTCAAACTTTCCATCTCCTTGAATGATTTTACCATTTTGATTATATAGTGCCTCAGGCATCTACTTTTTATCTCTTTAAACTTATTCTTAAATAAAGAGGTTACCTGGACTCTTATAACTCATATTTTTCCAGAATTACCTCTTTTTAATGATATGAATTAAAATATCCTCTTATTTTGCATAAAGTTTCTATTTAAGTTTTGAGACATTCAAAAGTACTTTTATTTTGAAGCCTTTGAAGAGAGGAGGAAACCAAAACTCTGCTTCCTAACACTGGAAGGTAGTTGAAATTGGAAAACAAATGGCTTGATATATATACTATAAAAAGTGGTATTTTTTAGGTCTTTTGGTTACACCTGAAGTGGTTAACAGTAAGTGCAATGTTTGAGCTAGTATTATAGCCTAAACAAACCATACTATCTGAATTACCATAATTAGCTAAATTAGGTTTCATAAATGTCGTTGCATGTATACTGAATAAAAGTTTAAATTCCAGATGGGTAAAGATAGGCTGTATGATAATTTAACTTCACAGCAAGCCAATCCTTAACATTGAATGACAGGAAGATCCACAGAGAAAATTTGCCATGTATAATTTTGTAGACTCTGTACTCGTGGGCAAATTTAATTTTACTTGGAAAGTTTGTCTTAGCAAATCAAGGTTTTGGGTTAGATCATTTGGGTCATAAACTCAGCTTTCTTATCAAATGGAGAAAGACAACAAAAATAGAACATCTGAAGATACAAAGTATTTAATAACCAGGTGATGTGTTCATAGGTGTTCTTTAATCAAAAGTTGATTCTGGCTGGGCACGGTGGCTCATGCCTGTAATCCCAACATTTTGGGATGCCAAGGCGGGCAGATCACTTGAGGTCAGATATTCGAGACCAGCCTGGCCAACATGGTGAAACCCTGTCTCTACTAAAAATAAAAAAATTAGCTGGGCATGGTAGTGCATGCCTGTAATCCCAGCTACTCGGGAGGCTGAGGCAGAAGGATTGCTTGAACCCAGGGCGTAGGCGTGGGGTGAGGTGCAGAGGTTGCAGTAAGCCAAGATCATGCCACTGCATTCCAGCCTGGGTGACAGAGCGGGACTCCGCCTCAAAAAAAAAAGTTGATTCTTTTCTTAAAGGAATTCCTATTTTTTATTTTATTCTCAGAGAAAAGACTTATTTTGTTTCCAGTGACAGATGATTGTGACTGCTGTCACTATCAACCGTTGTTTATCAATGCCACTTCAGTCTTAAGCATGTCTTGCTTCAAATTCTTTGGTGGATGATAACCACTCTGATGACAGTATACTATCTCCAGAGGGTTCTAAGTCCTTCTTCAAGCCTTCACAAACTACCTATATTTCTTCACAAGCACACATCCAACCCTTTCATTTCAGTTAAAATATTTTTTGGATTATTTCATACTCTTCTTTGAAATTTTTCCTCAAAATATATGCAACATATGAAATACATTCAATGCCATTCAGTCAACTCAGTAGACTACCTCCTCACTTTTAAAAGAAATCTAGGTAAGAAGAGAGAGTAGGATGAAAGTTAAAAGTGTGAAGATGGATAGTGATCTGTCACCAAAAATAAGTTCCTAGTGATCTATGAAGATCCTACATGAGCGCTCCCTGGACTGTCAAATCTTGAGTTCTGTGATTTCTCACCTCTTGATCCTCATGCCTTTTCTTCTACCTGGAACATTCAGTCCCTTTTCTCAGGTCTCTTCTTTGTCAGTCTTCTTCAAGGTCTTTAATGGTTCATCTCTAATTCTATCATTTCTTTGCCACATTTCTAGACTTCTGCTATCAACTGATCTCCTTTTTATGTCCTCGGATATTCTTTAGTAACTTCTTTAAAGGACGTGAAATATGCAAGAAGTATCATCTACCTTGAACAAATTCACTTTAAGAGATATGGAATCCTAGAATTCAAACTTAGATCTGTGGTTATTTTCTATCTGAAAGTTATTTTTCTTAGGAGCACTGTATTTCTCCCTATTACAGTAATATTTTGGCCACTTATGGCAATAACGTGTGTATGTGTTTGTGTGTGTATTTTGTCAGAGCACTGCTGCTAGAATTTTTAGTAGAATGCAGTTGATAAATTGTTAATCAATATGAAACAGAGACTTTCTTTAGGGTAAGACCACAATCAGAAGCATTTTTAGAATTCAAAATATTTATAATGATTTTTTTTAGTAGAAAATCAGCACCCTGATTTTAACTTGGTGGGGGGGTGGTAAAAATTTTGAGAAAAATTGGTTTCCTTGATAGGGAGTTATCAAGGAAAACAAAACTTTGATTTCCTTTACATAAGTGTAAACAGAAATGAAGAAATATGTCTTTATAATACATATACTAAATAAATATATGTATTTTTATATATGCTTGTATACATACCTGTTTGCATATTTGTAAGTGCTTGAGGTAAGTTCAAGGTGGAATGGGTTGAAAGGAGAATGTTTAGGTTATCTGAAATAATATAAACCAAATTCCTCTCAATTTAGTTAGGAGGTTAGAAAGCTACTTCATGAAGAATATTTTTGGGACAAATTTTAAGGTAACCTTAAAAAAGATTTGCTAATATGTATTTTCTTGTATATCATGTGAACAATCACTTCCTGAAATTTCTTAGTTTTATCACTACAAAATAGTCACACCATAACCGCCTTGTCAAAGATTTTAAATGGAAAGAAACAAAATATAAAAACTACAAAGAAACTGAAATCCACAGAAACAGAAAAAAAATTCTATATTTCATTATTTTAATGGATCCTAAAATGCGTAAGCACTTTGATAGATTCTTTTTTATATAGGATTTCCTGGTTTTCAAAGTATATAATGCAACAAAAAAGTGAACCCAGCTTCTTTTTTTCTTGTTCATTGGAGCTATCACATCTCATCTATCAGACCTCTAAGTAGAATTTTTAAAGTGGGGTACTCTCTCACGCCCAAGCACTATGTAATTAGCATATGAATGTGTAACGGATTGTTTGAAGTAACAATTAAGGGAACAATACATAAAGGAACTGAAGAGAGCTACCAACACCTGGGAATCTTGTATTGAAAAAGCTTTCTTAATGTAAGTAATTAAAAACCAAGGATAAATGTTCATTGTGTAGGGATAAAACTCTACAAGGAAAGCTAAAATTCTGCTGATGTTTTGCTGTTATCCTTTAGAAGGAATCATTAAAACAAGAGCTTACTTTTTTATTTATTTCAATAAAATGCTTGTTAAATACAGGTTTTGCATGGTATCTGATCTCCTGAAGTCACCACAATGCATAACAAAAATGTCTTACATTTCTAAAATATTCATATTTAAAATGTATATAAAATGTCAAGGAATCTTCTTCCTATGGCCAGTGCAGTTTCAGAGAAAATTTCAATTGATTGCCAGGTTAAATCACGTATATAGTCAATTCTTTATAATTTATTTGTCCAAGTAATTCCTGCTAATGAATCTGTAGCCCGCTCTATTGTTTTGCACTATTTTGTGTCTCTTGAAGGCAAGCATGCTATAGAGGCTCCTGCTGAGGCGGAGCACCTTAGGAGAGTAACCAGTAGCTCAGGATTCTTAGGAATCGTTGATATTGAGGGAGGATAAATGAAGTGGAAGGCAGGGACCCCGCATTATGGTTTCCATTTTTTATCACTTGCTGCCTGTACAAACCACTTATGTTTTTTGGCATAAATCTTCTTATCTCTAAAATAAGAATTACTTTTTTCTAGACTGTTAAGTCTCAGTCAGTAACCTTTTATGGCCCTTTCTAATATCCAGTTGTATATATTCATTTGTAATAAAGAAACTCTTAACCCCGGAATTTAACTTAAATCAGTTTAGTCTTAAATAACTAGCATTTTATGGAACAACCATATTTGAAAAATAAATTGTGAGCCTAAGATTTCATTTGTAAGTAGAAAGTGAAACAAAAATGTATGAATATTCATAACAGCATTGTTCATAATAGCCAAAAATTAGAAACAACACAAGTGTCTATTACTTGATGAATGGATGAATAAAATATGGTATATTCAATTGTCAAAACAAAAATTGCACCAAAGTTAAACAGGAAGGAAATACTTTACTCAAGGCTGTTGCAGTAGGGGAGAGAAGCTGGATCCGAGTCTGAACTCAACACACATGAAGCAAACTGGGTCAGGTTTTTAAGTGCTGGAGTGAGCTTGTGGAAAAGAACTGCAGGACATTCAGGGCCATAAGCTATCTGTATTTGCTGATTGGCTTTATCTAAACTACCTCTTGTCATAAAGATATGAGTTTATCTAAATAAATTTAAGTTTATCTAAATAAATCTAAATAAATTCATATCTTTATGACAAGAAGTAGCTTTTACAACTTGGAGCAAGGTGCCCCACTGAAGTTAGGCTCCTACCCTCCCACCTAAACTGGAAGATAAAGGTGCTGTCTCTCTTGTTGATTACTTTTCAAAGAGGTAGTTCCCAGGTCCTTGAGAGGTACATTTCTGGATTATAAAGTTACCAAGTGGCTACTAAAAAGATTTACGCCTCACAGGAGTAGAGAAAGAATTACAAGCCGGGCACAGTGGCTCACGCCTGTAATTCCAGCACTTTGGGAGGCCAAGGCGGGCGGATCACGAGGTCTGGAGTTCGAGACCAGCCTGACCAACATAGTGAAACCCCGTCTCTACTAAAAATTCAAAAAAATTAGCCAGGCGTGGTGGCATGCGCCTGTAATCGCAGTTACTCAGGAGGCTGAGGCAGAAGAATCGCTTGAACCGGAGAGGTGGAGGTTGCAGTGAGCTGAGATCATGCCATTGCACTCCAGCCTGGGCTACAGAGCAAGATTCTGTCAAAAAAAAAAAAAAGGATTACAATTACAATATTCTTAAAGTAAATTCTATAATAAAGGGAAATCAAGGGCCTATGGTCAAGAACAACCCTTTCTAAAGTTTAGTCAAACCAAGGGGAACTTTCAGGCTGTCCTGGTCACCATATGATAGAATATTCTTGGACAGTGAAGGAGGATGATGTATTGATACATGCTATGCCATGTATAAACCTCAAAAGCATTATGTGACGTGAAAGAAGGTGGTCGCAAAAGGCCATGTATTGTATCATTCTGTTTATATGGAAATGTCTAGAATAGTCAAATCTATATAGTCAAAAATATTAGTGTTTTCCTAGGGCTGGGGGATGGGCGTGGGTGTGGGGTGGCAGCTAAGGGTATGGAATTTCTTTTTAGAGTGATGAAAATGTTCTAAAATTGTTTGCAGGAATGATTACAAAACTTCGTAAATATTCTAAAAGCCATTGACTTGTACACTTTAATGGATGAATTGTGTGATACGTAGATTATATTTTAATAAAACTATTGTAAAATATAGATTTATGTTGAAATGTCTTATATAGCCAATAGAATATTTACTTAATATATAGATTTTTACAAATTTAAACACAACCAAAACCTTTATTTTTCCAAAGTACGTTTTGGCTTTGGATAACCTGTGAATTTTAAGTGTGCATTTCTGATAGCTGGCCTGCCTTTTAGTTTTTATAAAATAGTAACTTATTACCATGTTGTAATAATCAGATAGTATATAACATGAAAGAAAGAAAAATAAATTCTGAAATGTCCTTGAGATATTTGCATCCAATAGAGAAAACAAATGTATAAAGAGAATAAGAAGTAATTTCATACTATATAAACAGAGTGCCAATGTATGAATGAATAATGTTCTACAAGTACATTTGTAAACTAGCTATTTGTAGCTTTCTCTACAGAAACAGTTCTGCCATCCGCAATCAGGTTCCAAACCTATCCTGCAAAGATTTATTTTACCCACAGTGTAGCTGAAATGAAGTATTAATGTTAGTACAGTCAGGGATTAAGGGACAATCATACAGGAAGGAGGAGAATGAATCTGAACACTCCCATTTATTGGAAGCAGGCATGGCTCCTGGCAAAATTTTGAATTATGCAGAGTGAGACTGGTTTTCACCCATCTTCTTTTGTCTATCCCTTGCCCCATGTTCTAGATCTAGAGACTCTCTCTGGGTCATGGGGCATTGACTATTTTTATGGCCCTAAGTTTCCCATTGCATTACCTAACTCAAGCATCTCTGTTCCTCCAAGTGACAAATTCACTCACGCTATCTGACGTAACATTTCTCCGAAACAACATATGAACATTTAAATTCTACTTTCTGACCGCAGCTAATTTTGTTTTGCATTAGGAAGGAAGCAAATTTTGAAAGCGTGATAAACTCTGGGTACACTAGAAGCATTTTCAGATAAAACTTGGATTGTAAACATAAAGGTATCTTTAATTAATAAGATTTCAGGCATTAGACTTAGGGAATGGTAACAAAAATTTGGAGGCATGACAAGCTGTCCTTTCTGACTCCAGTCCCTCTTTGGGGCTGAACCCCTCTAAGCTGCTCTTTCATTACCTAAATATGTACTTTGTTTCTGCCTGAATGTCAGCATCCTTTAAACACACCCTCTAAAATTTGCACTAGCTACCAGAACTAGGGCATTGGAGTGTATAATATAATGGTGGTGGTTGAGGTTGAGAGAACACATTGAGAAGATGACATGGAAAGGAGTAATCAAGAACTATTTATGGTATGAATAATTTGGGCATCTTTTATTTTTGGACATATATTTTTCTACATACTGATTACTTGGTTTTTCTTTTTTATAGATTGGGCTAATGGATACTACAGACAACAGAGAAAACTTGTTGAAGAGATTGGCTGGTCCTATACAGGTAAACATATTACTTATATAATGAGATTTAGCAGAAACTTTTATTGTTTTGTATCTATTTTTATATATAAAAGGAAGCTTTGTAGCACAACACATCATGTCAACTTAGCTAAATGGATAGTTAGATTAATTAATAGATATATAAAATATAAAACGATATCTTATGGGCTTTCCATAAACAAATTTGGTAATGTAGGGCTTATTGACATCCACCCAAACTGTATTTGAAGCTCAGGCCCAAGCTGTCTATATACCTTCAAGAAATAACATAACCTGGGGCTCTGTTTTTTTCAACGGTGAAATGGGGGGCTGTTCTGAGCATTAAATGAGATAAATAAAGTGTGAAGCACTTGTCACAGAGCCTGCTTCTAAACAGAAAGCTCTCAACAAATGTTAGCTGCTGGAGTTGTTATGATCATGCTAATGATTATTTTTGTTCATTTAACAAATATTGATGGGATTCTTGCTCTCAGAAGGGGCATTCTTCTGAATTACTGTTGTTAATTTATTGGTGTTAGAGTAAAAAATGATTTTGTCACATTACTAGACTTTGCCTAGAACATTATGAACATCTGAAGTTGGCTTGAAATAGTTACAACCAAAAATCATCAGCAGAAACTCTGGGAGAGAAAGTTCTAGCCCTGAGTGGAAGAATATGAGTGGAATTTGGGTGAACCATGACATGCCTAGTAACCATGTGGGATGGAGTTGAGCATTAGAGTTGGGTACTCATTAGCAGTAAACTTGGGTTGATAAGATAAAGTCAGATTACAAGGGCTTTACCATGAGCCTGGCCAATTTTACTTAATAGATGAAGTGCAGAAGCATGCTGAATTTTGTAGATAAGGATGTATTTTCTTTCTTCTTTTTAATTGCTATTTTAAAAGTAGTAAATATTCATTGTAGAAAATTTAGAAATAGGTTCAAGTACAAAGAAAAACATAAAATCATTATTTTATTTCCCTCAGGAATAGCCACTTAAAAAACTGCTATAGTCCTTTTAGACAGTTTTTATTATCCAAAATTTATATATTTTATTTATAGAGTTATGCATGCAGTTTACTCTTAAAATTATATTTATTTCCTCATTTTAATATTCCTGCTGATCATGATAGTTAATCTGCTTACTAATCCATTGAATAATTTTTTTATTATGTAACCACTTCCTTATTTTTGTATATTTAAGCTTCTATAAGCAATGACAGATGAATTGACAGATAGATGTGTTTTTATTTTTATTACTTCTGTGCTATAGAATTATTGATATGCAATTACCGAGTAGGAAAAAAAAAAAAAAAACTTTCAAGCCAGGTGTGGTGGCTCAAGCCTGTAATCCCAGCACTTTGGGAGGCTGAGGTGGGTAGATCACAAGGTCAGGAGTTCGAGATCAGCCTGGCCAACATGGTGAAAACCCATCTCTACTAAAAATACAAAAAAATTAGCCAGGCATGTTGGCGCATGCTTCTAATCCCAGCTACTTAGGAGGCTGAGGCAGGAGAATTGCTTGAACCCAGGAGGCGGAGGTTGCAGTGAGCCGAGATCACGCCACTGCACTCCAGCCTGGGTGACAGAGCAAGACTCCATCTCAAAAAAAAAATAAAAATAAAAAATAAATAAATAAATAAATAAATAAATAAATAGATTTGTGATGCACACTGCCTAAATGCTTCCTAGATGGGTTACACTCATCTGTCATATAAATGACTACCCCACTGTATACTACCCAAGATTGATGATTGTCATATTGAAAATCTTTATGAATTCAACAGATTTTTAAAAATCATGTTTTGTTACTTTAATTTGCTTTTTTTTTATTACCACTGAAGTCATGATTTTAATTTTTTATTAGCCATTTGCACTATACCTCTTCAGTGCAATAAGTTAAATTAGAACCTGGAAAACAATCAAGATGTTTATCAGAGCAGGAAGAGTGAACAAATTAAGGCACATCTCGACTGTGGAGTACTCTGCAGATGGGTATGAGGTAGACCTCTGTAATATTGTACAGAAAGACCTACTATTAATTTACTCATTTATAATAAGGACCCATACATCTATAAAATACTACTTTTGATATTTTAAATCCTAAAAAATACATAAAAGCAAAAATTATTCATAATTTGACTCCATTTTGAATTAAATGGAATTTTCTTTTTTATTTTTCTATGTAAACAAATTATACCCAATTTAATAAACATCAGCAAACTCTATTTACTTGAGGAATTTCTTTTTTCAGAAAACATGAAGTTTAATCAAAAAGGTTGTTGGACCAAAGGGCCTACCTATTTATAATATTAACAGATATGTTCAAATTAATTTCAGAAAATTGTGTTAAAATTATCTATTTCCCCACATTTTCACTAACACTGACTCTAAAAATCTAGTCAATTTGATTAGTCAAAAATGGAGTCTAAATTTTAATTTGTATTTCCCTGATTACCTACAAATTTTTCTATTATGTTTTTGTATGTACTACCAATTGGGTATATGTTTATTAAATAATGTAGTATTGTCTTTTAAAAAACTTTATAATTTTATATACTTTATAACTTTACATCTGACAATTGTAACTCATTTTGTCTTCTTTTCCTACGAAAGAGAAATCCTAGTATTTTATAAAAATCATGACTGTTTTTTAATGCCCCTAATAATTATGAGAAACATGTCAGGAGGGACTAAGAATGCTTAGAGTGCATCCCTAACCATGGAAGATGACATTACAAGGTGAAATCCTTAGTTTTCCTGGAAAATATCTGCCAGTGTCACCATCTGGGCAATATTTAATGCAGGACATCTTTTTAAATGATTCATTTAAATATTGCTAGTTGTGGTTTCGGAATGCTACTTCCAGGATAAGCTTTTCCCCAAGAGGTTCTTTATGAGTATTAAAGTTCTACATGTTTGGGCCTTTTATGTTTATATTTTTATTTTTAATTCCTAAGAATATCACAAGCCATCTTTTAAAAATTCACTATTGTGTTGTTTTTAAGATAATGTTTGCTCCATTAAGAGTAATATATAACTGCTTTAAAAACGTGATACATAGAGATGTTATCACAGAATAAAAGTCAGCCTGGTTTAGTTTTGTCAACAGCTAACTTTCTAGTTTCAGAAGTGAAACTAGAAGGAGGTTATTTTCCTCTAACCAATCAATTTTCAAACAGAGAACTCAGATATTTACCAAGTATGTATGAGTAAAATGAAAAACAAACTTTAATGCACCCTCCACTCTCCCTAAACCCAGAGTTAGAAAACAGAGGACCTACTGCCTAGGGAATAAGAAAATTATAGTTCTCAGCTCCAAGCAAGGGTGGATGTATGTTGACTAATGGAGTGATGGTGGTGTGTGTTTCCCAGCAGCCCAGGGACCCTATGCATCTTGGGTGTGCCTCATAAGGTCAGGAGAAGACAACAGTTTTACCAGGGTTTCAGCAGATATGATAGCAACAGCACATACCATTGTGCAATATCTTATTATCTTAGGAGGCAACCACAGAGCTGCTCCTTTTAATGGGCTGAGTATAGACACAGCACCTATAGAGTGGCTAGGCTTTGACAGATGGGTCTTTGAAGAAACAATGTGTAGTTCTTTGCTTTAAAATCAAGTTGAATCATCTTGCTCATAACCTAAGGCCTATTGGCTTTAGCTTCTTTCAGGAAAGTCTAGTGATCAAAGGGATAGACTCATTAAAGCGTGGTATTTGTTGTAGGGGGGTGGGGTGGCAGATCTCAAAAAGGGATGTTCCAGAGTCAGGGTGAGGATGGAAGCTTACCAAAGTTTTTTAAAGAGTGAATTGCTTTATTTATATTAGTGCTTCCCATTGGTTTGGAAAATTATTCCTAGAATATTTGAGGATCCTAGGAAGAAACTAAAGATGAGTACATTTTACAACCCTTCGTTTAGCTCAAAACTGAGATGACATAATTATTTTGTCTGAATTACTAGACTATCAAAGAGAAAACAAATAAATGAAATTCTTTATCCAAATAAATGTATTTCACCCAAGCAAATTACATTAAAACCAAACCTTTAACGTGGATTATTCACTATAAAGTGAATTATCACTTTTTATTTTTAATACAAATATTTAAAGTTTGGTAGTATTTTTTAATTTCTATGCTATTTTTCCATTTAGAAAATGAACGACTATGCTAACTGCTTGAAATAACTGTATGAAAATAATGAAATGTTAGTCTTATCATTCTTAAATGTAACTAATTTTGTGAATGGCTTGAGGAAATTGGACTTGACCACATTCAGTTCTAGTTTCACCTTAACAGTTTATCTTGTTGAGCTGTATGTTTGTATTCCTTCCCATATTGTCTCATCATTTAAATTTATCAAATTAGTGGCAATCACGGAAGAAATGGCTTGCCCTTGAGTGTCTGAACATATAGGATTCTATTAATAAAAATTACTAAGTACATTATAAGGCTTGTCTGTAAAAGAACTAATAAGCCATTTAGAAATATTACATTACACATCAAACATTATTTAAATGCAATCACTTGAGCTAAAGTAATTATGAAAAAAATTACACAATTATGATATATGAAGTAACAATGTAAATCCCCGCTGGCTACCAGATGGGTGGAGAAAGGGAGGAGAGGTAATACTCTTTTAGTTGTGTTTTATGCATAGGTTAAGAAAAACTTTCTATTCAGGATGTATGCTACAATTATGCTAAGAAATGACAGGGTTGGTAAATACAGTTGACAGTCCCATTTTTAAAAGTTAATATAGGAGGTTGAGCAAGGCTTGCTTGTCACTTTGTGATGAAAGAGTGAATTGTAAATCTGGGAATGTCAGCACTAAGAATCTGACTCTTTCTGTAACAACTTCATTTCATTTAAGGGTTTCAGAAAATAAATGTCACTCTTCCTAGTAACCTTAAGTTTTCTATGACAATTCCTAAACAAAGACAGTTCAGTGAAAAAAAAAAAAAAAGATAAAGTGAAGTCATTTTATTTTTTTTAATCTCATGAACACATAGCCCAAGATTATCCTAGGAGATGTTAAAAATCTTCTTTTCGAGTTGTTAGATCTTTGATTGCAACCTCAAGCAATGATAAGATCATCAGAAATGGGAGTACTTTAACTGCTTTATTCTTAGAAGTAGTACGACAGAAATATAATCTTTATTTTCTGGACTTTAAAAATATTATATTATTTCTTTTTCACCAATCTTTAAAGCAGCTTGAAATTGAAAATTTTATATTGATATGTTCTCAGGTATTCTTAAAACCTTAACACCTTTAAAATTTTAGTTAAAGAATGCATTCGATTCAAATAAGAAAGTATGGCTGTTCTGGTCACACACAAGTCTGTTATACCTCGCTGGATATGCTAGAATGAGAGAGTCTTTAAATATCGAATTGATTCTATTTCTGTAAATAGAATATCCTGTCTAAATAGTCTTTCCATTTTGATAACTGTATGTAGAAAATGCTACTTATAGAAAACAAAAAGGCCATAATTTAAGGTTGTGTATAGTATAGTTTGGTGTTTGGCTTTTATTTTTGGTTTAGTGTTTTATTTCTTTTGGCCCAGGAGAAAGTAAGCCAAATTTTACTCAGAAAGAAAATTTGAATCCATGTAGAATAATGACGGATTTTTGGCCTTTCTTTAACTTCTATAATCTAGAATATCCTTTTAACATATTATATTTTCCTCTTTGATTCACCACTTCTTATATAAACAGACTGTTCCTTTCTAATTTCCAATTGAGCAGTAGAAAAGAGAGTTCCAGAACTCTAACTATAGAATTATCTCATTTCTGTTAAAAAATATGTATTTATATGGACATAGATGAAAGGCTGGAATGATATATACTCTACCCTGTTGACCATGGTTACCCCTGGAGAGTGAGTCTCTAGATGTGGATGAAACCATAGGAGGCAGGAGCTTCACTTCTCACTGTATACTATTCATACTGGAGGAAAAAATAATTTTTGACAAATATGTTGACACAAAATATTTTCAACTTAACGTGAATTAATTTTAGCAAGAAGGGCAAAGGTAGTTGGACAAGAACCGTAGCTTCGTGTAGTCACCTGTCAAAATGTAGGGCCTCTGCTTGGCTGAATCTCAGTGAGAGGATATCACAGACCCTAACAAGAGCATGGACAGTGCTCAGTGCAGGTTTTCTGATCATCATTAACCTACAGACTGACTAGGCTGCTTAAGAGCTCTGCATTTCGAGCTTGCAGTGAGCCGAGATCGCGCCACTGCACTCTAGCCTGGGCAACAAAGCGAGACTCCGTCTCAAAAAAAAAAAAAAAAAAAAAAAAAGCTCTGCATTTCGATTTTCCCGTTTGTAAAATACTTCTTAATAATGCCCAACTTAATTGTGTGCAGATCAAATAGATGCTTCACATTGTTGCAGAAAAGCTCTTTGAGCAAGTACATTATGAATCCAAGTAATTATTATTGAACAGTGTCTTAACTTGATCCCAAACAGATTGAACAAGCCTGGGCCCATCCGATAATCTCACAAGAGGATTTAGAAGTGGTTGATTTGCTTGAATGGATATTATAGACAGATATTTCCTATCATCTGTAGATTTTTTTTAAAGTTTAGCTAAGATTTATATTCTGGTCAAACTTTTTCTATGCTAGATAATGGTGACTAAAGCAAGCCTCGTTGTGGAGGCTGAACAGGGTTCAGTTAAGTGATCTGAAACTCAGAACCTATGTGTATTGACTCTATTCATGAAAATTGCTAAGAGTAGATTTTAGGTGTTCTCACCACACACACACAAAACAGATAAGGATGTGAGGTAACGTATATTTGAATTAGCTCAATTTAGTCATTCCACCGTGTATCCATATTTCACAACCACATGTGTATACAATAAATATATACAATGTGTGTTTGTTGATCAAAAGATAAATAAATATGCTTAACAATTTTATTTGGTCGCAACTCTTATGTAGTATGGACTTAAAAAAATTAAGATGTGGCTACAGAATAGCATCGCAATTAGATAATCATTGTTTATTTTCTCTGCTAGTAAAACTAAATGCTAATGTGTCTCCCCTATTAAAAAAAAAGTTAAAATTGCATAGATTCTTTCCTGAGTCCAGCTTCACAAGTATCATTGCTGGTAGCATCTAGTAGAAGCTTCAATGGGATGGGCAAGTCCTAGCAGCTCAGAATGAGGAAACTTGGCCCCTTCTTCTTCTGTCTGAGCTGGAACTGTCTGGGCTTTGTGTAGGACGCATTGTGCTTCTTCCCCTTGCTGGGCCTCCTTTACTTCAATCTCTGTGGTTTTTGTTTGTTCGTTTGTTCGTTTGTTTTTGTTTTTGTTTTTTGGGGTTTTTTTTGTTTGTTTGTTTGTTTGTTTGTTTGTTTGTTTTGAGAAGGAGTGTCTCACTCAGTCGCCCAGGCTGGAGTGCAGTGGCGCAATCTCGGCTTGCTGCTGCAATCTCCGCCTCCCAGGTTCAAGTGATTCTCCTGCCTCAGCCTCCTGAGTAGCTGGGACTACAGGCGCCCGCCACCACATCCCGGCTAATTTTTTGTATTTTTAGTAGAGATGGGGTTTCACCGTGTTAGCCAGGATGGTCTCAATCTCCTGACCTCGTGATCTGCCCACCTCAGCCTCCCCAAGTGCTGGGATTACAGGTATGAGCCACCTCGCAGAGCCTACTCTCTGTGTTCTTTACTCAGTAGGGCTCTAGTTCGTGAAATAGACACATTTCATAAAAGAAAAAGGGAAGAGAAAATTACATGGCTAATTAAAAGAAATCTAAGTCTAGGCTGCAGTTTGCATTGTCACACAAAATTCACTTAAATGTGTTACACTTTTAGGCAAAATGCCATTATAATAATTTTATGTTGACCTGTGTTGCCCTCCAATTTCATGCATCAGTAAGGGCCTAGTGGAAGGCTTATTTAGTTTCAATTTCCTTTGTTTTCTGTATGGTAATTCTGACTCTTTAAACCAAGAATTTTCAAGGAGCAAAAAGATAAAAAATCATTATCAAGGAGCAAAAAGATAGAAAAATCATTTCTATTATTCAGACAAATTTTTATTAAGTGAAGCATATTTTAATGACTGAGGCACAGAATCACAAAAATTATTTTGAAATATAGTGAGACACATTTTGACTTAGGGATTTTATTTCCTTTATCCCTTAGGAGGAATGTGTATATGGCTGTTTATCCTGTTATCTGTGAATACCATGTGACAACTAAAGAATAAAAATATCAAACTATTAAAGAATTAAAGTTAGTTTTATTCCGAAGCCTGACTGAGGACTATAGACTGAGGCCTATAGCCGGGAGCACTGCTGCTGCACACTGTTGCAGCCACGGCTTTTACACAGGTTGTGGAGGTTCAGTATGTGCAAAATCACATCAGATTCACTCAAAAGTTACGTTAAAGTAGAAACACATCGAGGTTTGGGTGTGAGAGTCTATCTAACTACAGATGACTAAAGTACATTGGTTATAGATTACAGAAGCATAAACACTAACCCCATCAGATGTTATCTTATCTGTAAGAAAAGGCAAAGATTGGGGTCATTTGTCTTCTAGGGAATACAGTGACTTAGGCAAGAGACGTGGGGGCTTTGTGCTGTATCCTCTTTTGTCTTCAAAGCCTCCCTCCAGAGAGTTGCACATTGTCGCAGAGTCAGGAGCTTGTGAAATTACAGTGGCAAACAGAAACGAGCAAACATGCCTTCCTACATTTACCACTTTGTCTCATACCTTTTTCTGCTTAAGCCACATAGTGTTTTGTTCAGATGAGATAACCGCTTGACTGAACCAGAGCTGGGCCTTCTCTTGGCTGGATGCAGAGGATCTTGGAGATCGTCTGTGGCCCTTACTACACCAGCATCCAAACTGTTATAGACTGTTATAGAGCTTCTAACTACCACAGAATATTCTGGTATGCTTACAACAGCTGCACGTATTCATTCTTCAATTGCATAATTGTGCAATTGCACAATTGCACAAGTTTCTTTGGAAGAGAGGGAAACTTGAACCCTATTGAGAGGTAGGGTCCAGACCAGAAGAGCCGTGTTTGATAACCTCAGGACAGTGGGCCTGTTGGAAGCCAGAATCAAGGGAGAGGCAAGGAGGAGCCCCTGAGAGACAGGAGACAGTTGGGGGACTGAGGAAGAAATATGGCAGCAGAGACTGAGGGCAGAGTGGAGCCTGGCACCAGGAGGAGCAGGTTCCCAGTTCATTGTGATGCACCTGGCGGCTCCCCTGGGGCCTTCCCCACCCAGAGTGTTCCTCTTTCTCAAATGCCTACATGCTTTGTCCTGGAAACAACAGAGCCCCAGCAACTCCATAGTGGGGCTCCTCTTCTGAAAGAGGCAGAAATGAGAAGAGGAAGATGCTGGGGGTTCAGCAGCCGAGGTGCATGTGGTGCAGGCATTCAGTCCAATTAAACAGGCACCCAGAGTCAGGGTGGAGACTGATGGTCTGGAGGAAGAAGCAGCAACCTTCAACAAAATCAGATTCTGGTCCATGCAAGCTAAACTTCATTCCCTTAGGGGATGCTATTCAGCTCCCTAATTTAGTAGAATAACTTCTGATGACCAATAAAAAGGAGCCTATATACACACAGGCTGAGGAGACTTAGTGTGATAAGATGGTAGATGCCTTCTGATCGGATTCCATTAATGCCGAGATCCTTAAAGTGTAGAGATCTGAGCCATTATCTTCACAAGTATTGTAAGTGCCAATCTGATATTTTTTTCCCACAAGGAAAACACTTTTTTATTTATCATTATAAAAGTGTGTTCATCTAAGAAAATCATGTATGTATCATATATTTCATATTTCATATGTTTATATATATTTATCTACCTATCTATTAATATCTATCTATTTATCTATATAATTTCACCTTCCAGAGATAACTACTCTTAATGTCTTCTGTTGGGGAAATATAATTAAAAACAAAATCTCCCACCTCAGAAATCCTCTCCATAAATGTAATAACAACAACAACAAAAAGCAGTTTTATTATCAAACAAGCATTAAACCAGAATGTAATACACATCATAGGCAATCACTGAAAGATTGCGAAGATAGGAAGAAATCTCACCCCCCCATATAGCCAAATAGGTACAACCCATTGCATGTTTTCAAGATAAACAATAACTTGTCTTTAAGTAGAAGGACTTGGCAGCAACTTTGTCACACATGGTTCAGCTAAACTTTAACTGGTAATTGGAGTGACTATTTGTGTTACCCTATTGGCTTCATCCAGAGGGAAAATAAACTTCATATTTTTGAGACAAGAGGTAGCTTTACAAGTTGGAGCCAGAGGCTCATGGAAGTTAAGCTCCTGCCTTCCCATAGAAATTGGGAGAGTGGAGCACCATCTTCCTCGATGTTTGCATTTCATAAGGATGGCCCCCGGGTCCTTGAGAAAAACATCCTGGATCATAAAGCTGACAAAGGGCCTATCTAGCTTTCAAAAGGATTGATATACATTGCAAAACAAGGAGAAAGTATTTACAACGATCTCTTTTCTAAAGCAAATGCTCTTTAAAAAAGGACGGGGTGGGGGTGGAGAGAAAAGTGTCTTCCTGGTTTTCAATGGGGAGAATTAAGCCTCTTACTTTTACTTTTTATTTGTCCTTACACTTCCTAATTATGCATCCTGAATTCTGATGGCCTCTTACTAGATGTACTGCTTTTATCTCAATAGTAGTACCTGCTTTTATCTCAATAGTAGTTTGTGAATATCTTTCTAAGTAAATGTAACTAAATCAGTGTGAGGGCAACAGAAAAAATAAGCTTCTACCAGGGCAAAACTTTGACTATCCATGTGTCTGAGGCAGAGACTCACACATAGTAGGAGCCCAATATATATTTGATAGTTGTTACTTTATTTCCAGTCTCATGGGGAACAGAAATAATTTTGCCTGAGAGGAATTGTGACTAGTAATAACATAATTTCAGGGGATCATCCCAAATCCTTCTTGCAACAAATAGATTATACAAAAGATAAACACTGTGGAGTGAGTTCAGAGCAAGGCTTAGCATATAAGAAGTAGCTAAAAATCGTAATGAATTGGAAAACAGGGAAGGCTGCATTTTATAGTGCTTTGCCACCTGGAAATTGAAACAAAGGCAGAGCCACCTAGAACCAGTGCCAAAGCAAATCCAAAACTTGGCATATGCCAAAATATATTACCTCTAAACTCTGTAGTTTCCATTCTTTCATACTTCATTAGCATATCTAGGAAGTAAGATCTATTTGCAGCACTTTGAAAAAAATAAATAAATGACATGTAGTTTTTCTTTTCCAAGACCCTAAAAGTTTGTTCTTGAAGATCAGTTGTATTTATGCATATAACATACTCATATATCATTCAGATTTTTATGTTCAGTCAACTTGTGTTAGAATATGAAGGAGTAAACTTCTCATCAACTCCCTAGCTTGCCTTCTACCTTAATGATATTTTAAACTTACTGACAAAGGAAAATTTAAAGTGTGGATATTATTAGTTTAATCAATACTCATTGGATTGTACAGCGTAAGCCAGACACTGTACTAGGCATCAGAGATGCAGTGATGAGTGTAAGTAATCACAAGTATGCAAACAATAGTGATTAAGCGTGATTTTTTTTTTAAAGCATGGTAAATACCTCATGGAGATGGTGTTAATGTAAGGTACGGAACCCTAATTGGCCTAAGAGTTTCAGGGAAGGCTTACCAGAGAAAGCGACTTTAGATTCAGATAAAGCATAAATAGGAGTTAAATCAACATGGGTGAAAAATTGTGCCAGGCAAAGGGAGCAGCTATCCTAAGATCTGTAGGTGAAGGAGAAATCACTGTGCTCCAGCCTCTACCGCATTCTTCCTGCTTTTGGACAGAAAATTAGGAATGTGATGAGACAAGCTTCTTGGGGCCCACTGAATTAATTCCCATACACTTACCCTATTGAAAATTCTGGATAACAAGATTTATGCCATAGTTTGATTGGCAATGGCTTACATTTTAACTGTTGACTTCTTTGCATTTAAGAGATGTTAGGCATGATTTTACATCAGCACACTAGTTAGGAAACGAAAGGAAAAGGGACTAGTAAAAGAGTCCAAAAGAGAGGGGTATGAGAAAAGGAGCTTTACCTACTCCAAGAGGGGTACAGCTTCAAGTTGATAGGATTAATCAACATTGTCACACATAGTTCTGGGGAGTTCATAGTGAGATAAAGACTATGGACTTGGATGTATTTTAATGAAGCAGGTTGTAGTGGGGATTCTTTTGTTAGTTTGTCTGATGGGAATACAAGCTCCAGAGACAGTCCTACTCTTTCCTTCTAATCTGGGCTCCATCTTACATGTCATCTTTTTTGTCCCAAAGTTTTTCACCTGTAAAAAGAACTAATGTTAGTACCAAGCTCAGCAGGTGCTGCAATGATTACATGTGTAAGTATATACAAAGCAGTTAGAATAGTGTCTGGTGCATATAAAGTGCTCAATAAAATTATTATTTAAAGTCAGATAAATCTTCTGTCATATTCAGGACTTCTGACAGGTTTATGTCCATCACGCAATTATCTTTCAATAGTACAGATATAATTATATGATTCTCCCCATCACCTGCCAAATGAAAAAAAAAAAAGGGCTCTTTAGCTTGGCATATAATGGCTTTAATGAGCTGGCCCACCTATCCTGTTTCATTCCTCATGATTACCTTCCCCCTGCCTGCTGCTATACCAGCCTTTTCAAAAGCAGGTCTCTCCGATTCTGTTTATAATCCTGCCTGAATAGCAGACTATGCACCTTCTTCAAGTGAAGCCTTCTTTCCTGACTCTTCTTTTCTGCAGGCCAGAGCACATCCCTTGCTTTCATACACTGTCCCTGTCCCTCTCTCTTTGTTGCAGTGCAGCAGCATAACAGGTTGCATGTCTCACTCATCTTCCCTTGTTCAGAATGTAGTACCTCATGTGTGCTCAGGAAGTGTGTATGGCATGAATGGACAAAGCTACGTGGATTGAGCTTTTGTTTTACAAATGGAGAAATAAAGAGACGTAGTCATTTGCCTAGAGTCACAAAGTAAGCAGAAGACTGGAAACTTGGACCTGGGTTTTGACTCCTAGGGCCCTGGCCAGAGAATTTCTGTGGCCACATCTGATTTTTTGTTTGTTTGTTTTTGTGTTGTTTAAGTGATGTGGGAAATAATATAAGATATAAAGCTGTTAGGCTTTGAGTTCTTGTGTAAATATAAAAACTTCTGGTTCCAAAGCCTTGTGTATGGTCTTCTTAGCCTTTATGCATGTCTTCTTAGGAAATTTGTAAGAGCAGTCATTTCTGGAAAGTGGAATTGCAAGTGCCCTTTATTTTCATCTGTTTGCTTGTCCAGCATCTTCTAGTTTTTCTAGACTAAACATATATTTGTTTTATAATCAGGTGTGGGAAAAGGGAGCTTAAATGTCTAAATTAATTTTTATTCCAGGATTATTAAGAGATTGTTTTTGCATCATGGAATGTCTTCTGCCTTTTGATATTTCCTCATTTTATAATGGTCCTTTTATGTATCTGAGGGGCCTGTGTCTGGGCCTATTTCTACTTCACTGTACCAGGTGAACTTCTTTACCAAGCAATAAAGTCAGAAATGGTATATTAATCACCTATGTCCTTAAGGAGTGATAATAAATAGTAATTAGTGTGAAAATATATTCTCTTAGGAAAACGGTCATATTATACATTTGCATTTTATCTGGACTTCATCTAGCCAGGATTCCACTGAGGGCACTTAAAGGATCACACAACTTGATTTTCTTCTCTGCTGTGACACAATAGCCTCACTTTGCATTCGTTTCACAATCTGGGATCATTATCCAAGCTCAGTGAGAATCAATTTCTCATAGATGATTGCCTGAATCACTGCCAGCTCAGCCACATTTTTTACATCATTTACCAGGAAGTATAGTTTTTAAAAAGTCAGAACAATTGTGCAGGTAACCCAGAACCTGAATATGCCCTCAAAATATTCTTCAGAGGGGTCACCCACCCCTGAAACTCAAAGTCTTCTGCAAATTGATTGACAATGTTACTGACCTGTAAATCAAAGGATTCCCCATTTCAATTCACCATTTTCTAAGTGAGTCTCTATTGACATGAAAGAGTTCATTCTCTTTTGAAAGAAAAGTTCATCTTTAGAGAGCAGCCTCAATTGTTTGCTTTTTAGCAGAATAATTACATCTTTAATTTCTGTGGAGATAATGAAGAAAGCCAGTTTAGGATATATTTATGAGGTTTCAGAGTATATTTGGGGAGAAAATTCTATAACTTTTAAATATGATTCTTTAGCTTCAAAACGTACATGTTTAGGTAAATTGCAATAACTGTTTTACTTTCATTTATGGTGATTGCTTGTTCATGCTTGAGCACAAGAGAGAAAGCTTGATTTAAAACGTAAGTCTCATTGATGAGTTTTTATGCCACCATCATTTTAAAAAGTAAATTTAGTAGAAAGCTAATTTTGGCATATAATGCAAATTCCTCTACTTTATCTGGCCTTCATTTAATGATTTTGGAGTTATCACTGCAAGGTGTTTATATAGATTAGATACCACAGAGATCTAAGGAACTATATTTATTTGATCCTAATTAATATTTGGCCTTAAATAGATAGTCACACCACTTTCCAATTTCCTAATTTTAAGCAATTAAACAGCTAGCAGCTGTTGGCCAGATAAATATTAAACTTTGCCAAGTAGATATATGCAAGTTTTTTAACCATATTTGGACTATATTAGAATAGATTACAAAATGTGTTGACATCATATACTTTAGAAGATTGTATGTTACAGGTTCATACTGAACAATTATTTATTATCTGTTTGGTATTGTTAAAACTCATGCTAAAATATCATGGATAGTTGTATACTATCTATGCATGCCGGCTCATAGTATGTGAAGACACATCAAATAAAAACTCCTATGACTATCTTTACAAGCGTGCTTTGTATTTAAATAACATTAAAGATAATTAAATATTGTGTTAGTGAGGAACTTTATTTCCTTATTTGGAATATTCTTAAACTTTTACAGTATGTTCTTTTTTTGACAGTGAAATTGTCAAATGAGCAATCACAATGATAAAGAATGAAACCATAAGTAGTGTAGAATGTATTTATGTATTTATTTATTTTTTTGAGATGGAGTCTCTATCGCCCAGGCTGGAGTGCAGTGGCGCGATCTCGGCTCACTGCAAGCTCCACCTCCCGGGTTCACGCCATTCTCCTGCCTCAGCCTCCCAAGTAGCTGGGACTACAGGTGCCCGCCACCATGCCCGGCTAATTTTTTTTTGTATTTTTAGTAGAGATGGGGCTTTACCGTGTTAGCCAGGATGGTCTCGATCTCCTGACCTCGTGATCCTCCCGCCTCGGCCTCCCAACGTGCTGGGATTACAGGCGTGAGCCACTGCGCCCGGCCAATAATGGAGAATTTAAAGCAGTGGTTCCTAAATTTTAGAGACCATCAGAATTACCTGGAGGGCTTACTGAAAAAAGATTACTGGTCCTGATTTTCAGAGTTTCTGATTCAGTAAATCTGAGATAGAAGCCACAAATTTAATGTCTAACAAATTCTCAGGTGTTCCTGATACTGCAGATCTGAGGAGCCAAACGTTGCAGTGTCTAGACTCTAGGTCAATCTCAGCTTATGTTATCTTAATTTGGGGAATGAATGAATGATGGAGTGAAGAAGAGAAAGCACATGCATGAATATATTTATTTGTGTAAAAGTGCTTCAGCTCTCTGGATGAGGTATATTGACATTTAAAAAGTAGCAGTATTGCCTCAGTGTAACATGTAACAACATTGAAAATGCTATTTTCAAAAGCTGCTATCTGCATCAATAGAGATGAGTTAAGTTTTTGGACAATTTTTAATGCAACTTGCATTAATTTCCCCATCTGGATGGGGCCTCTTTACCTACATAGGGAAATTCCTGGCCTAGGTGGATCCAGCAAATCCTTCATTACTGAATCTGGCTGTAAGTTATCTTTACCTTACACTACTCTTGACACATTTATCCCTAGCAATTTCCAAGGAAATTTCCTTTTTTATAATCTTTGTATTTACCTGACTCCAGAAGATCCTGGGTCCTGAAAATATTAAGATTGTGTTTTTCATTCTTATATATATATTTTTAAGTTTTTAAAGCCTGGTAGTAGAGTCCTTTTAAATTGTGTTGTTAATAATCCTAATAATAATAATTTCCTTCTAATATTTTTGGCTGTTGGTAATGTAATTTATGGGTATATCCAAAATTTTTAAAATAGGATCTGAATATTTCTGGATTTCTATTCAGTAAAAGTTGTTATTCATTCTTTGCTTCAGTAGCTGTTTGGAGTTAAACAACTCATGTAATTGTCACTTTTCAAGTCAATAATGTAAACCCCACAGGACAAATTATTTTAGTGCCATACTTACAGATTACATTTTTTTTTTAAAGACAGTCTTGTCTTGCTCTGTCTCCCAGGCTGGAGTGCAGTGGGGTGATCTCAGCTCACTGCAACCTCTGCCTTTCAGGTTCAAGCAATTCTCCTGCCTCAGCCTCCCGAGTAGCTGGGACTACAGGCAGGCACCACCATGTCCAGCTAATTTTTATATTTTTAGTAGAGACGGGGTTTCAACATGTTGGCCAGGCTGGTTTCTCACTCCTGACCTCAGGTAATCCACCTGATTCGGCCTCCTTTAGCGCTGGAATTACAGCGCAAGCCACCATACCCGGCCCAGATTACATTTTTTGTCATTGGGCTCCATTTTTCTTGAAATTTAGTCTGTAACCCTGGGGAGTATGTTTGAAAGTTTTAATAGTTGTCCAAAAAAATGTTATCTGTCAGTTCCCATTACTCTAGCAGAGGATTTATTTGAAAATCTCATAATGAATGGTAGAGCCTGCATTTGTTGTGTAATAATTTCATTCACTTATTCATATATTCAACACATCTTAATTAAGCACTCCTATCTGCCAGCAGAAAATAAAAAAGACTAAGTGCCCCAGATGGAGCTTGAATTCTAAAATAACAGAGAACAAATATCTATAGGTAAAGGAAATGACTCACAGTGACACATTAAACTATACTGTGTAAGATGCAGTCTCATTCATGAATATTGAGTACAGTCATTTTAGACTATTATTCTCTGGAGATATTCTAGAATTATAGAGATTAAAACCATTGATACATGTAGATCAACAGCTACTAAATTTTGAAGATCAAGCCATTGTCTTTTTTTAAGTAGGTAATTTTTTTGGTACATTTTCAAAGTTGTAAGTTTTGCAAATTCATTTTTTTATTTTTCATTTCCTCAGACTCAATATTCCCCCTTGGCTTAGGAGGATTCACAGTATACCTCCAGGTTACATGAGTAGCTCCAATCAAGCCATGCCTAATAATGAGCTAGTTCATGTGGGGAACTCCTGAAAAATGACTGAGCTCATCCCAGTTCTCACAGATATTTGCAACCAGTCATACCTACTTCTCCTTTAAATTCTGTACCTCTTCTTATACACACCCTAGAGACAGTGTGCCAAGCATAACATCTTAATCTATGCCCAATGCAAGAAGGAATTCTCTCTCTTTTTAAAGCCATGGAAAACTCCTCGTAGTTTAAAGACAGCCTCTTCTCCACCTCCCTAGGAAGAATGTTAGACTTAGTGATGGGGTAATTTTCTCAAAAGTTTGTAAAAAAGCAGCTTGTCATTTTGGTCATATTATTACCATTAAGTACAGGAAGTTACCTTCAGAGTAGAATTCAGTAGGCACCATTCCCTAAGTGTAAATCTCCTTCACTCATTAAAAGTTCTGCACCACACCCACACTGTATATAGTATTGGAAGTTGCTCAGGAGTCTTGGCTGCTAGTAAGAGAAGCCTGAGAAGTACTCATGCTCTGATCTGAGTGGGAAATAGTTGTTCAGTGCTCTTGAAATTGAAACAAGAATTTTCTTTCAACCAGAGAAATGGGAAAGGATTTAGTGATTGCCTGTAAAAACCTAAGGAACTGTTCAACTATATAGAGCCACTGTTTGGCCGCATGGAGGATCTTAACACATCCCTAGGTATTCCTGTATGTGGTAATAACCACAGACATGGGAACAGCTTTTGAATCCTAAGACCTGTACCCCAGTGAATATAATGAGAGAGAATATAAGTCAGAGAGGGAATTCAAATTGTTCCTCTGGGAGCCTGAGAAATGTAAAAAACTGGTTTACTCCCTATACTAATCCTAAAAACAGTTGTCATCACTCTTAATTCATTTCCTGGAAAAGAGACAACTGACAACAAAGTAGCGAGAAGGTCCCATAGAGCTCCAATAAACAGTGGTAGTAATATTTTGTATCCTGTTGAACAAAATAGGAAACCTTGAGTTCAAATTAATATAAATTGAGAATTGAAAAAAATAAATTTAATGAAGAATGAGATATTGCTATAACTTCAAAATACCTCCCCTCAAAATACTTTCTAATTACAAGACAGAGAATAATATTGCAGTGGAAAGCCTGACAGATACTTTAATCAAGTGATCAAAGTAAACGTCAGCAAAAATTACCTTTACAGAGATCCTGTACCACTGACTAAGATACAGTGAGAAGAAAAGAGCATATTTTTTGTGACGTTTCTAATAAAAATGCATAACCTGAAGAGACATCAGACAAACTCAAATTGAGGGACATTCTATAAAATAACTGTAGTCTTCAAAAGGATTGAGATTACGAAAGTCGAGAAGAGATGGAGGAACTGTGTCAGATTGAACGAGAGAGGACAAGTAAAGGCAACATGTGTTACTGAATGGAAACTTATTCCCTAAAGGTTATTATATTGGCAATATCTGAACGAAGCATAAGGACTCCATGGTACTAATGTTATCAATGTTAATTTCCTTATTTTGAAGAGTATATTGTGATTATATAGGAAAATATTCTTGTCCTTAAGAAGCTCAGGCTGAAGTACTCAGTGTCAGTGGGATGTTGGCACTATTCACTCCAGTGGTTCAAGAAAAAAAAGTCTGTTCTGTACTTGAACCTTTTCTCTAAGTTTAAAATTATAAAAAAAAAAAAGATATACAACAATTACTTAATAGGACTTGCATTTTAAAAGAGAAGTACAAGTTGAAGAAGGTTAAAATGAAGCCTTTTAATATTTAACTCCATAGTCCTATGTGTTGCTCTGCTATGCTGACGATGCATGAAAATTTTAATTGCTTAATAAGAAAGAAAGGGAAAGATAATATCATAGAGCTCACAAATATGAGCCTACCAAAGCAGAAATTAGATTATACTAGTTTCAACTATTGAATTACCCTGTAGTTTAAATTGAAAAACAAAGATAAATCAATTAGTAATTCTATATCCAGTTTAATGATTTTTCCATAAAAATTATTTGGCTTATAAAACAATACAAAAGTCTAAGAAATATATCATTTAATATGGGCTTCCCTTTATTCATGTCTGCCAGCGGTTCTAACTAAAATAAATGGAAGCAGGATGTTGCACTGAGGATTTGCTTTGTAGCTCTTTACCAGTTTATTAGCCTCTATTTGAAGATTTTTTTTTTATGAGGCCAAATCCAGACTAAATTAAATAGATCTGGCATGGTAACATATCATTTTGGGTTCTAAATAAGTGATTCCTTTTAATGTGCATACTGAAATTTTCTCACATGACAAACTGGGACACATGAAATGGAATTTCACGCACTATTGAACTGAATTCTCGGTAGCTGCTGTGAAATGTTTGGGGAGTTTTAGTGGATTTATCCATTTTAGTGACCATATTTCCCCTCACATTTGTGAAATGCATTTTGCTGTTATTTTAGTTATTCTGAAAATGTGAATTCATTTACCTGCCTGTTCAGAGAACAGGCATGAGAGCTAAGGGAAATGATGATAAGCACAATAACAACAACAAATACAGGTGATATTCACTAATTTATTCATTCAATACTAACTACAGGGACTAATATTGAATGAATAAATTGGTGAGTATCACCTGTCTGTTAACAGAACAGGTAAGTAAGTACCTGCTCTAATTAAGCTTACATTCTATTAGAAAGAAAAAGACCAAAAAAAGCAAATAAATAAATAATTGCAGAGTATGATAGCTATTGTGAAAAGAATAAACCTGGCCAAACATGGTGGCTCATGCCTGTTATCCTAGCGCTCTGGGAGGCTGAGGCAGCGGGATCTCTTGAGCCCAGTAGTTCAAGACTAGCCTGGGCAATGCAGTGAAACCCCATGTCTATTTTAGAAATATAAATAAATAAGAATAAACATGTTGATATGATAGACAATAGCTTAGCAAAGGTGGGGAGGACCTTTCCAAATGGGAGACATTTCATCTGAGGTATGAAGAAAGAAAAGTAGCCATCTGGTGACAAGTAGAGGATGAATGTTTCAGGCAAGGGCAGGGAAAGTGCGAAGGCACTGAGATAAGAAAAGTGGCTGCTTATGGAAGAGAAAGCAGAGTGTGATAAAATGGAGAGTCCAGCAGCCATTATTTTGTTATTTAAACCTCACAGTGATGCTGTGAGGTTGGTCCTCATACAATCCATTTTTTTTTTTTTTAGGTAATATTCCTGAGGAATAGAGAAGTGAAGAGACTTACTCAAGGTTATTTGTTGATAAATGGTAGAGACAGTGTTTTCACCCAGAAAGTGTGACTTCAGAACCCATGCATTCTGAACATTATATAGTGTTACTTCCTGTGAACCCTAAAAATGTGAGACAGGTCTCAGTTAATTTAAAAAGTTTATCTTGCCAGGGTTGAGGATGCAAGCCCATAACACAGCCTCAGGAGGTCCCGATGTGCCCAAGGTGGTCAGAGCACAGTCTGGCTTTATACATTCTAGGGAGACATAGGACATCAGTCAACACACACAAGATGAACATTGGTTCTGTCTGGAAAGGTGGGACAACTCGAAGCAAAGGTGGGAAGACTGGAAGCAAGGAGGGGGCTTCTAGGTCATAGGTAGAAAAGAGACAAATGGCTGCATTATTGTGAGTTTCTTATTAGCCTCCCCAAAGGAGACAATCAGATATGCATTTATCTCAGTGAGCAGAGGGGTGACTTTAATTAGAAGGGGAGGTAGGTTGGCCCTAAGCAGTTCCCAGCTTGACTTTTCCCTTTAGTTTAGTGATTTGGGGGCCCCAAGTTTTTTTTCCTTTCACATTTCCCAAAGAAAGTACCACGCACATATGAATTACTGTTGTTATAATGATAAAGTTGAAGGCATGTTTTATAGCCTAGAAAACTCATCTATATTATCATATTTTGCTCCATTCAAAATACTGTGCCCAACTCTAGGTGCTAAACTTTAAAAAGATTATGGACAAATCGGAGAGTATTTGGCAGAAGGCCCCTTGATTGGTAGAATCTTGACATATGAGGAGCAGTTTTGACTGTATCATGAAAAAGATAAGGCTCAGGAAACTACAAGGTGGTCAGAGCACAGTTTGGCTTTATACATTCTAGGGAGACATGGGACATCAATGCCAGTATTGATATATTTATGGGGCCTTCATATGGAAAAATAACTAAGCATTTTGGATGGCCCCCAGTAGGTACAATTTGGAGAGAAATATAAAAGCTACAGAAACCTACTTTGATAGAGGAAATATTTTTTTTCACATTGAAAAATCCAAAATTGGAATAAAGTATTCTGGGAGAGATAGAGACTCCAATATCAAAGGTATTTAAATATAAGTAGAAAAACCTGTTATTGAGAGTGTCCTATAGTGAATTCAAGCAATAATGGGTAATTGAACTGTATTAGCCCATTTTCATGCTGCTGATAAAGACATACCCGCGACTAAGCAATTTACAAACGAAAGAGGTTTAATTGGACTTACAGTTCCACATGGCTGGGGAAGCCTCACAATTATGGCGGAAGGCAAGGATGACCAAGTCACATCTTACATGGATGGTGGCAGGCAAAAAATGAGAGAGCTTGTGCAGGAGAATGCCTGCTTTTAAAACCATCAGGTCTCATGAGACTTATTCACTATCACTAGAACAGCATAGGAAAGACTTGCCCCCATGATTAAATTACCTGCCACCAGGTCTCTTCCACAACACATGGGAATTCAAGATGAGACTTGGGTGGGGACACAGACAAACCATGTCAGGAACTAATGTGGTTTTTCCCAATCCTGAAATTCTTTGATGGACAAGTTATCATCAGAAGACAGGATAATCAGAATTCAACATACTTGATTTGACAGAGCATGGAATAGAAACCTGATGCCAGATAGTGATAAAGAAGCAAAGTAAAATCCAAGATAGTAGGCTTGCAATGAAATACAGAAACTGCCATGTCTTCTCTAGTTATCAAGGGGACTGGTGATCTGGCTCAGACTAGAAAGCGGGAGTAGCCCTGCCCTGCCTTAGTAAGTATGTATGCAAATTTCTACACTGAATATTATCTCCTCTTCAAAACCTATACTGAGACCCCAGGGAAGTGATCATGTGCACAATCCTTATTAGATTACCTGTAATTCTCGTTGCATTGATTTGTTTATCTGTATGTCTTCTTCTTTTAGCCCTTAGTCTCACTGAAAGAAAATTCATATTTGTATTTTCAGACTTAGGAGTGTTACTAGAAAATATGTAATAACTAATACAACAAGTAGCAGACTGTTGAATATCCAGGGAATAAGAGAAGTTCAAACAAAGTCAAATTTAGAAACAGAACGTATTTGTGGCCATAATTTATTTTCTAATTACCCATCAAAGTTATAGATATGTATGCTTTGAATATGGTATCAGAAGACTAAGTCATAAAATATAATTTTGATTTAGAAGATTATAAGATCCAAATGAGTCAATACAAGGCATGAGGAATTATGATCAAATTAGATTTTAGATCTGGAAGATTTCTTCCATTTTATGTTCTAGAGTTCTACCAAGTGAAATCACAATGAATTAATTGAGAATAAATGTTTTATTCCAAATCAGTTTGTCAGTTTTTATAGAGATATGATCTAGAATCAACTTATTTGAAACTTCCAAAATTTTAGTTCAATTTCTTAAACAAAGGATACTGCTGTCTTCTTGGAGCTGAGAGAGATACAACCTCATTGCTACTAGCATTACCTTTACCACAGAAGAAAAAATACTTTGTAATAATTTTTGATATTACTAGTATCACTTTTAAAAGTTTTATTTTGAGTAGTGAAAAAGAGTGATTTATTTGAAGAAATGTCCTAATATGACTCTGATGTGAACACCTTTCAGAAGTGTGGTGTTTATTATTTGGTAGTGGCAAATGTGAAAACATAGGCATTGCATTCACTAAACTATAGCGAACAGAGAATTTGCTGACCTGTAAGTGCATTGTTGACTTTTACCTTGTCCTTAACTTTGACCCTTCCTCAGTATTAATGAGTTAAAAATGTCTCAAACAGGTGTCAGCTGGGGTTCTCAACCTTTCAAAGATGTGAGTTATGCTCAAAAGCCAGCCTGCCTCTTCATCTCCTCAAATTCCACTACCTGTAGAAGTCCTAAGCCCTCCTTAGAATTTCTGTGACTTCTCAGGGGTTTTCACTTCTTAGTGCCTGCTTCACTTCCTTTGCCCCAGCTTCCTGATAAACCTTCTCTGTCCAGTTAAACAAAGGCAAGGAACCTCCTCATCCAAAAAGAGAAACTACTTAAATATACTGTTACTGAATAGACTGTTAGAGAATCTTCCCCTGGGCTGAAAAAGTAGACACAAGTTTAGATACCTTTAAATCCATGCGAGTGTATTTATTTATTTATTTTTTTTTTTTTGAGACGGAGTCTCGCTCTGTCGCCCAGGCTGGAGTGCAGTGACGCGATCTCGGCTCACTGCAAGCTCCGCCTCCCGGGTTCACGCCATTCTCCTGCCTCAGCCTCCCGAGTAGCTGGGACTACAGGCGCCCACCACCATGCCTGGCTAATCTTTTGTATTTTTAGTAGAGACAGGGTTTCACCGTGTTAGCGAGCATGGTCTGTATCTCCTGACCTCGTGATTGGCCGGCCTCGGCCTCCCAAAGTGCTGGGATTACAGGCGTGAGTCACCGCGCCCGGTGAGTGTTTTTTTTTTTGTTTGTTTTTGGTTTTTTTTAGCATAATAAAGACTTGAAGGTAGCTGGCACCTGTAATTCCAGTGCTTTGGGAGACCAAGACAGGAAGATTGCTTGAGGCCAGAAGTAGAAGACCATCCTGGGCAACATAGAGAGACTCTATATCTACAAAAGAATTTTAAAAATTAGCTAGGCGTGGTGGCACATGCCTGTAGTCTCAGCTACTTGGGAGACTGAGGCAGTAGAATCACTTGAGCCCAGGAGTTCAAGGCTTCAGTGAGCTACAGTCACTCCACTGCATTCCAGCCTGTGTGACAGAATGAGCACTGTCTCAAAAAAAAGAAAAGAAAAGAAAAGAAAAGTTTTGAAGAATCAATTTATTAAAAATCAAATATAGTTGGCTTTCATAATGAGTTTAATAATTTACTTTGAGATTAATAATCCCTTGGCAATGACTCCTAACATTTTAGTTTAAAGCTTTTCTCTTAGCCTTTTTATGTATACATTTAAAGAGCAGAGGCACATGCTAATATAATGAACTATTGCAATGAGTCTATTTGCAATGTAAGCTGATGATCAGCTTGTTTTAGCTGATTTATAAATTGCCATGTACCAGAATTACTTATACTAAAACACATAATTTAAACATCATCCTTAAGAAATGAGATAGAAAAAAGGAAAAGGGTCAGTATTCAGGCTTCTGCCCTGCTTATGAGTCTCTTGATTGACACTAATTAAAAAAAAAATAAGTGGAAATTCAGGAAAGAGGTTAGAGGCAGCAATAGGCAAGCTGTTTAATGTCACATTTGAAAAAATTATCTCTAATTCTTGAAGTCACTTTTAAGATTTTAAAAAGTCAAGCCATAAATTTGCTATCTTTAAATAGGAGTTTGGTTTAATTATCACTTAAGCACTTTTTTACTTTCTCATTTTAGGTCTTTAATTTGGGTATTAATTTTTCATCTATTTTATATTTCACAGGTTGTATTGCTCTCATTAGACTGTTTGTTACAAATTGCTTGTGAAGAAATACATTTTAGGTGTCATAATTTTCCTCAAATGATATCTGTATGAGTGTCTATCAAACTTTCACTTGGTTTGAAAAGACAATGATGCAATAGTCAGACTGGGAAAAGGTAGATGAATGGAAAAGGCAAACAGGTCTTTATGAAAAACAATGCAGATGATCTCTGGTGTCACATAATGTTTATTATTATTCAGCTATGTACATACTTGAAAAGATCCATTGTCATTAAATTATTTTTTATGTCAGCCTTTATTATCACTTTGCAATACAAAGAAAGCAAGGTGAAGACTAACTTTTCTCTTGTACAGAATCATCAGGCTAAATTTTTGGCATTATTTCAGTCCTTGGAGACATCTGAGAGATTCCGGGATGCCAGTGGTGCCTCTCTGGCCACACTGACAACAAATAATTCACCTAAGGAATAGTTCACTTCAGCTATTTTTTGCTACTCATTGGTTGTCAGTGCCATTGAGGAGAGCTCAGTGTAGATCAAAGAAAACGGTGTAGATCAAAGAAAACGGTGATTCGGTGATTGTTCCCCTTCTTCCCAGCCACCCACCATCTGAACCTAATGCATCATTGTACAATGGCCGTAAAGGATGACAAGGGACTCAGCAATCAGTTCCTGGAGGAAATGATGCTGTGGCTTTTGGCTGGTGGCACCATCATCCTCAGTCATCAGTCAGAGTCATCAAAGTGATCATTCATCCATTCACTCCCTCCTCTGTCTCCACCCCACAGCTAATCAACTAACCAGTTCTGAATTTTTTCTCAAATATTAAATCTTAACTTTTAAATCTTTCTCAAATCTATCTTTCTTCTTATCTCTGCCCTAGTTTAGATCCGTAATAATCTTCACCTTACCAATTGGTAGAACCTTCTAACTGACCTATCTCCTTCAGTTTTGTCTTCCTTAACTCTGTAACCACAGTTACTTCCATAAAATTTAAATATGACCGTGACACTTGCATCTTAAACACCTTCAATAGCTTACTGGAAAAATTTTAAAGCCCTTGTTCTGGCATGCAAAGCCCCCAAATTTTTCCATTTATTCTTACAGCCCCTCCACTCACTGCCTTGCATTCCATGTCTGAGCACATAGAACCTCCTACTATTCTTCCCAAACAGCCATGCACTCTGTCTTCCTAGATGCCTTCAGCCATGAATTTCTTCCTTACCTTCAGTTGGATACCTGTTTATTGAGACTTATTTCAAGTACCTTTTTTATCTAGAAAGCCTTACTTGTCTCATATCCCATCTGGGTTAGGTATCTCTCTTTGGTGTCCCTGGAATACCCTATGCATATTTCTGCTATTATATTCATTAGATTATATTATAATTGACAGTTTTTATATCTTTGGTTCTCACTAGAACATGAGTTCTTTGATGATGGCACTTTTATTCATCTTTGAATCTTTTGTACCAGGTAGATATTCTGTCTCACACTAGACACATCATAAATATTTGATAAATTAGTAAACAAATGAACAAATAAAAGCTGCAATCAGCAGCGTTAAGTTTTCATGGGATCTGTGGATAATATAAAATACAGAATTCCCAGCTGTGGCAGCAGATTTATTGCTATCATAATGGATCCACAGCTTCTTTCTTGTTCCTTGAATGTGACCAGTAACAATGCACCTAGGAGATCTGATGTAAGAGTATTCTGTGATAAGTGTATACAGAAAGGAGGAACCGATGACTCAAATAGGAATCAAGCCAGAAGCTTCTGCCATATGGGCAGCATGGACTTCAACCAAAACAATGAAACAGTGCTGTGGTTTAGCAGAGGTCCTACCATGAATAGAAGGATACCAGGTTGCCACTGTGTCTCAGACTGCAACTCTGTGTCATTGACCCTTTTACCAAAGGTAGGAAACAGAGCTGTAGTCATGCCCCATATCTATAATAAGTATGTGGATAATAAGCATCGAGTACAGCCCTGATGGTAGTGTCACTGTCAGAGACTTGTGTTGTTTTCCATTGCACTGCTATTTCTGTGCTATGAGAACTTAGCTCATCAGTTATTGAAGAAGGGGGAAAGTTAATGACCACAAGAGGGCTTATGATGACCCTAAGGCAACTTTCAGAGCTATTCTGCAAGAAGAGAGATTTTTATTTCCCAAACCAGGGGGTAATTTCCACCAGGGCTTTGTTTGTTTGTTTGTTTGTTTGTTTGTTTGTTTTGTTCTGCATTTGCCGTCTCATTGGTAATAACAAGACTGCAGCAACAAAGGAAAGAAATCTCACTCCATTTCTCTCATAATTCCATAAATAGTTTGCCTGCCTTTCATTGAGGGCAGTTAGTTAACATTGAGGGCAGCTAGTTAACAGCAAGAGCTACAGAAAAGTCCTGTAATTAATCAACCTGCATTGCCTTCAGTCTGAATCTGAGTATTAAAATTCAGTAGGTGCAATTAGACAGAATCAGGCAAATATAAAGGTCATAACATTAGTCACAGTGTCACCTTATTTCTGAGCCTTTTCTTTCTTCTGAAGTGGTGTCTTGTCAGTGGGGTGATAGAGCAACAAGAACTCTCTGTTGTTATGGGAGTTTGTTAAATTTTATCTGCGATTTTTCCAATTTTAATTAAATACTTGATACCAGGCTGCAGCAACAGAAACACTGCTGTATTGGGTTTCAGCACTATCACTCTATCATCTTATAATTTAAAGTGAAAGATAGGAGGACTTTGGGGTTCTGACGGTTTGATAGCTTTTTAAAAATTACCTTTCTTTCCCCATACCAGATTAGAGATGGGGGTGGTGGGGAGAGAGCTTCAGCATCCTCTCGCCAGAACTTCCGGTTCTCTAGCTTTTTATACATCCTACTCACACTCGTCCTACTGATTTCCACTTAGGACTGCAACTACCCGTCCTCTCTGCTTGTCCATCAGGAATATTGACTTTCCCAAACATTTCTTAAAAATTGAAAAGTTAAACCAAAAATACACACTTTTATTTTCTTATTTTTATTTTTTCTAAGCCAAACTGTATCCAGCTTTATTAAAGACACTTTCCATAAACAATCCTGGAATTTCAGTCAGGACATGGGCAGACAATTATTAACAGTATACAACAACTTTCAAAAATCCTTCTCTAATGGACTACCAAAAATCAGAAAGCCACTATAAAACTCAATGAAGTCTTCATCTGATGCACTGAGCAGGGAAAGTTTTGAGTGAGGGTTGACATTTCACATTTAGCATGTTTTTAACAACTTTTCACAACCGACCCTGACTTTCAGAAATGAAATGAAAATGGCAGAATTTATTTGAAGATTCACAATC
Organism: Homo sapiens; assembly: GCF_000001405.40. NCBI lineage: Eukaryota > Metazoa > Chordata > Mammalia > Primates > Hominidae > Homo > Homo sapiens. The sequence goes on from NC_000007.14 coordinate 121,956,569, forward strand.
TAGAAACATAACCACTGCTCTTTTGAGGCACGCCATCTCAGTGGCACCACTGGAAAGTCCAGATTGCCTGATGCATTGGTGACCAATTAATGGGATTCCGGTCCCAACAGATGTCTGGGTTTAAGGGAGTTAAGTCTATGCTGGAAGGTGGAAAGGGAGAAGAAAACATAAGAACTAATTTGTTTTCCATACCACAAGGCTTTTGCACCAAGGTGGCCATGTATGTCAAAGTCAGGAAATCTTTCCTCCTGGGAACCAAGAGGAAGTCTCTCAAAACTAGAAGGGAAAGGTGTTTCACACATCAATCCAGATTTGGAGACATTTATTAGTGACATATGCTCCTTCCCCCCCAAAAAACAATAATGAAATGTTGTGTCTTAACAACATAGCTTAAAAAAAAAGTAAAACAAAATTCTGCATTTTTATAAAACTTGATAAAAATATTTCAAACTGTACGGTCACCAGTGCACAGTTATCAAAAATGCGCACACTTCGCTTGGCATTTCCAGCACCTTCAGCTTTCTGTGCCTGGTCTCCATTTCTGCAGGGTTATTCCCCTCCTTGCCAGTATCATCTTTTCCCTTTTTCCCTCTGGGTACCTTCTGTCCCTTCTTTGCAGGGCCTTTTTAGGCCTGGGCTCTGGCTTTGGAGGAGCAGGTTTAGCAGACAATCTCGCGGATCTTCTCTGTGGTTCATCCTTCACTTTGGCTGTATCTCCTTTCGCATCCCCTTCAGCCTTTCTCTTGGGCATGGTGGCGGCGATGGTGGTGGGATGTAGGTGCTGGGTGTGGGATGCAGCTGGGCACGGAATGCAGCGTTGCACGAGCTTTGGTCTGTCCAGGGGTCATTCTCACCACTGCTTCTTCCAATACACACTTTTAAATGGTGCTTCTATGGTCTCCCACATCAGGAGAGCCCTCAGTGCTTTCCCTCAGCCTAAAAGTCCACGATTTTATTCTTCACTATTTCCTCAAGCCTATTCTCACACCTGCTCCTCCCTTGCAGTGAATGATACTGATTCCAGTTTTTCTGAGAAAATAGGGAAAGGCGCTGAAAAGATTGTACTGTCTGCCTGCCCATTTACATATATTATCTGATTTAATTTGCACAGTCTGAGATGTGGAGATTATTCTTTCTTTTACAGATAAGGTAACTGAGGCTCATGTAAGTGGTGGTGCTGAGACTGAGCTCATGTTAGTTCAACTGCCAAACTTCTCCTCCCATGTGATGGGATGCAGCTGTAAAACAGAAATACTAGGGCATGAACATCAGATTTCTCACTTCCCTATTCTAAATATAGCTAAATCCATATGAATACATATTCCATGACTCTCTTGTGCTTCTTTCCTCCGTTAGGCTAATAATAGTCTATTCATGCTTTGTTTTTTCTCTTTTGGGATATTTGATCATCAACTTTCCATAACTTCAAACTCTTTCTTTTAATAATTCTTTCCTCTCAATATATACACATACTTATGTTTCCCTCTGTCTTAAAAAAATCCATTTCTCATCCTTGCGTCTGTCTCTGTGTGCCACCTTATCATCCTTCTTTCGTTCACAGCAAACTGTTTTTAAAAAGTGCTTTAATTCTACTGGTTCCCTCTAATTCACTCTGTAGTCTGAATTGCAAGTCTATCATTTCACGGAAATTGATTTATTCTATGAATGTGGGGTTTGGAGTTGGGAAATAACCAAATCCAAACTCATTCTTCACTCATGACACTTAGACGGTCTCTGCTGTGTATGATACCCACTTTGGGATACTCATTGTTGAAACCATGTTTCTATGACTTTCATGATACCATTTTCTCCTGGGTTTGCAATTCCCTTTCAGGCCACTCATTCTTAAGTCCATTTGGTGCCACTGCTCCCCTTTATGCTGCCTAAATGTTAGTGCTTTCCACCATCTTATCACTGATCCTCTTCTTGCTTGTCAACTTTGATTGAAGTATTTCACCCATATCTGTGGTTATAAATGTATGCTATCTGTACACTGATGTTCCCCAGACCAGTGCCTCCCAGACCCATATTTTTTGTTGTTTAATGAACTTCCATTGAAATTTCCAAGTCTGCAGGTTCAAAACGAAATTCAAAGTCTTTCTATTCATAATCTCTACCAACGTGACTGGTACCATGATACACTCAGGTATGTCCCCGTCGGGATTTTAGAAGTCATCCTTTGCCATTCTCCCTTCCTCACTCCCAAATAAGAATCCTCTGGAACATTCCTAACCTTCAAAATGACATCTTTTGTTGTTGTTGTTGTTGTTTTTGAGACAGAGTCTCACTCTGTTGCCCAGGCTGGAGTGCAGTGGCACAATCTCAGCTCACTGCAACCTCCGCCTCCCAGGTTCAAGCCATTCTCCTGCCTCAGCCTCCTGAGTAGCTGGGACTACAGGTGCCCACCACCATGGCTGGCTAATTTTTTGTATTTTTAGTAGAGGCGGGGTTTCACCATGTTAGCCAGGATGGTCTCAATCTCCTGACCTCGTGATCCGCCCGTCTCGGCCTCCCAAAGTGCTGGGATTACAGGCATGAGCCACCACGCCCGGCCCCTAGTTAATGACTTTCTTAAATATCATAATGCTAAAAGGAATTTGTGCTAGAATTTTCCTAAATAAATTGATAACTACCTTCTCTGACCTGTAACCCCCTGCCAATAGCATATATCAGCCAGACTTGAAAAGATTTTTTGCTGTCCTGATGTGATTGTCCCATTAGTACAGAAAACAAAGGAAAATGTAGTTTGACGAAACAGGTTCTCATTCTGAAATTGTTTGCATTTGATCTGCCTTTATTTCAGTTTTAATAGCAGCTATAATCAACGTTGGGCAACTGCTTTGCTCTTTCTAGCTGCAGAAACCTCTGGCCAAAAACACAAAAAGGCACACTGATTTGTGCATGGAAACACATCCTCATTCTTATTTTCAACATGAGAAGTTGTCACAGACATCCCTCTTCCTTTGCTTTGAGTCAGTTTATGTGATGGCATTTATCATTAAGACATATAATCTGTTAGTGATTGTTATTCAGCAGCTTTTGGTTTTAGTTTCTTATCTTTGAGGAAGCCCCTTTTTTCAAACAGCTAACTCTTGCATCTAAAAAGTGTCTTCTTAAGTATATCATCTTTCCATTTTGCTGGAATTCTAAATTTTATGCTACTTATCATTGAAAAAATACTGAATTACTTCATTTTTGTATTTTATTAAACTAAAATTTGAATCCAAGTCACTCACCACTGATAGCTTTATACTGTTTAAATGACTTTTTAATTTTGGTGTTTGGGTATGTTTGTTAGCATGTAGAAAGCAAGCCCAAGGTAATTTATAAAGCTATGACTTACAGTGTATGGAGCACTAAGTAGAGTTTATTCAAGGCAACTGGTGCTAGATGCTATGAAGATTACTGTAGTCTTCACTTCAATATTACACTTATTTTGCCTTTTCAGAATATTTTTATATGTGAATATGTGGAGACACATTCTTTTTGAGGCGGTGTCTTGCTCTGTCACCCAGGCTGGGGTACAGTGGCATGCTCTCGGCTCACTGCAACCTCCGCCTCCCAGGTTCCAGGGATTCTCCTGCCTCAGCCTCCCGATTAGCTGTAATTACGGGCGTGCGCCAACACGCCTGGCTAATTTTTTTGTATTTTTAGTACAGATGGGGTTTCACTATGTTGGCCAGGCTCGTCTCAAACTCCTGACCTCAGGTGATCTGCCCATCTTGGCCTCCCAAAGTGCTGGGATTACAGGTGTGAGCCACCCACGCCTAGCTGAGACACAAACATTTTCTTACCTCAAAACCTGGACTACACAAGAAATTCATTAAGAATGAAAGTAATATATATTTTTTCTTAACAATATCTTGATCTTTAAAGAATCAGTTCTATGTATACTGTTATTAAAATCTGATTAAATAGCAATTTATAGGAATCTTTAAAAGAAATCAACATTGAGATTTTTATTATATATCTATTAATTTTCAGTGGATCTCTGCTGAATAACTTACAAACAATTATAATTATTTTTCCATTAATCTGATATTTGAAGGTAAGACTCAACAAGAACAATGCAAAAATGAGAGAAAATAAGAGGGAAACATTAATTTTTTTCTTTGACTTTTATTTCATCTGCATAATTTAATCATTTTTTCCTTCAAATATTCAAAAACCTGCATTGGTATTTTTTTCTGACACATTTCCCCTGTTAGACTTTAGTTTTTCTTAGTTCATATTCTTGTGTTAATGGCTGGTGGAGTAACGTTTCCTCACACACAATGTTTTTTAAGGTATGTTTCTATCTGGAACACTAATTGGTCAAATATGTATAGCACATGAACATTAAAGGGTGCTAACTACGGTTATCTCACTGAAGCATTTTTTTTTTTTGTCGTTCAGCAAACGTTGATTTAATTCTTAAGTGCCAGGCTCTAAGAAAGGTACTGAAACATTTTCTTCCATTAAAGAAACATAAATAAGAGACAGACATATTGTAGTTTAAATAAGTACAGTGATGCTGTAAAAATCAAATTAAGACAAATAGGAGATGTCTATGAAAATGGTCATTACGCAGCCTCTCCCTTCCTGCCTATCCTGCATTCCTGCCTGCTTAGTTTCTCTGATGAGACATCTATGAGCTCCTTCCTCTTCCAAAGCCTCCCTGCCTCTCACTGGTCTCCCCAGGCACATGGATCATAATCTGCCTTTCTGTCTCCCTCTGTAGAATACCCCTGCATTCACTCTGCTCATTGGACTAAGCTGGCCTGCTCACTGCTGTCAGCATTGCCTGAACTTTTCTGCCACCATGAGTTTGCTCAGGCTCATCATTCAGCAAGATATGTGCTTGGTTTCTCCTCTGCCTGTCATAATTCTGTCCATCCTTCAAGGCCTGCATTAGTGTGTCTTGTTATCCATGTTTACTTTCCTTCATTGCATCTACTCCTTTTTAGCATTTGTCTATTTATTTAACAGACCCCCACCCTTCTGGAATGTAATAATAAACACACAGGCAAGCTAACAAACTTGAACTCATGCGTATCCCCTGCGGAGCCTAGAATTGCTTTCCATTCCGCTTGGAATAGAGGATGCATACGTATGCAAATATTGAAGACATTCATTTGATGCACAAAGTCTATTTCACAAGCATTTAATTTCTAACATATGCCAGACTCAGAGTTTGGCAATGGCATGTAGATGAAATAGGCAAGTTAACAGACAAAATACAGTATGTTAAGTGCTTCAGTGGAGGTAAGCATGGGAAATTTATAGGAGTGTTACTAATTCAGGTAAGTCAATGAGTGGATGAAAGCATGGATAAATATGTAAATGAATAACTTAGGTTAATTCTCTGGAGCTCCTATTTAGTATTCTGCTGTCCTCTTTATGTGTTAATCAGCCTGATAATCTGCTGCAACTACAGGCAGTGTCCTAATTTCTTCCTTCACAATAGTTCCTAATAACACTCAGGTGGCTACAATATAGTGAATTCTGTATACCTGCTTTCTCAGATGCATCATCCTGGCCTTTAACCACTATATGAACTGATGTCTCCAGTTGCCACATTAAACATATTAATTTGGGAATTCAAAAAAGTAATGTTTAAGGCCAGGCACAGTGGTTCACACCTGTAATCCCAGCATTTGGGAGGCTGAGGCGGGAGGATCACAAGGTCAGGAGTTCAAGACCAGCCTGGCCAACATGGTGAAACCCTGTTTCTACTAAAAATACAAAAAGTTAGCTGGGCGTGGTGGCACTTGCCTGTAATCCCAGCTACTCAGGAGGCTGAGACAGGAGAATCACTTGAACCCAGGAGGCAGAGGTTAGAGTGAGCAGAGATTGCACCACTGCACTCCAGCCTGGGCAATAGAGAGATGCTCTGTCTCAAAATAATAATAATAATAATAATAATAATAATAATGTTTTAGAATAAGATTAGTCTAATGTTTCATTATTAAAGCAGATAAAATGTATTTAATGGTTCTTTTGTCTTTGTTTTATTCCTGTGCACAATTTTTTTTTTGAGACAGTCTTGCTCTGTTGCCCAGGCTGGAGTGCAGTGGTGCAATCTTGGCTCACTGCAACCTCCACCTCTCAGGTTCAAGCAATTCTTCTGTCTCAGCCTCCTGAGTAGCTGGGATTACAGGCACGCATCACCATACCCAGCTAATTTTTGTATTTTTTAGTAGAGATGGGGTTTCACCATATTGGCCAGGCTGGTCTCGAACTCCTGACCTCGTGATCCGCCCACCTCGGCCTCCCAAAGTGCTGGGATTACAGGTGTGAGTCACCACACCCAGCTCCTGTGCACAATATTAACACTTCACTAGTTTATTTCCTTTGTTTTTCTACTCGTGGTGATTTGAAACAGTCTTTCTTTTAGAGTGCTTTGCATGAAGAATCTCAAGTTCTTATTTTTTCAACTTCTGTTTATTTTTCTGTTTGTTGGTTTTTCCACTAAAAAAAAAATCATTTTTTAAGTTTTATTTTGGCCTCTTTTATTTTGCTTTTTAATCATGAAAATTAAGAAAGCATGTTGAGCCCACAAGGTACTAAGTACTATTGTTGACAGCTGAAGTGATACCTCAGTTCTTCTTGGTTTAAAATAGTTTAAACAAGAGCTACACAGCAAAGGAGGTGTAGCATAGAGTAATTTATTACAATGGATAAAGATATTTTGAAAGTTAGGTGCAGAATAAACAGTATACCCTGAGAGAGAAAGAAGTCAGGACAGGCTGCTTGTAAGGGTGAGACAGCAAAAACTGGCACTAGGGAGACACCCTTTTAGGGAGTTTTAGGTGGGGACACAGCCAAACCATATCAGACACCTACTATGTGTCATTCGTTTTTTCTTCAGTGCTTGGATGTTGAAATAATGAATAAGCATAAGACTCCCTTTTTGGGAGTTTTAAAAGATGATTCATAAGGAGGTGGGAAGAGGTGTTACTAGTAAGCATGTTCTGGGTGGTCTTCTGGTGCACATGTGCAGTAACTGTACATGCTTGTTCATATGTTGCATGTTTCATTAGCATCTTAAAACTCCACCCAGGGGTGTGGTTTTTACTATTATAATGAGCATAGGGTCAGTTTGGGGACAGGTAAAATCAAAATATGCATGCTCTCTAGAAGGGAAAGGCCCTATTGAAGATAGCTTTGCTTGAATGAGCTCAATTACAATGCAAATACTGAGGTTTATTGTGCTGACTGTATGATCACCATGGTTGCCCCATCCCAAGAACATGGTCACTTCCTTGACTGCCTATCCTGCCTCACTATGATCTAGTAGGTGATTTAAATTTGGTCCACACTCAGTGTAATCATTCCATGCACTTTAAACATAATCTAGTTACCTGGTGTCATTGCGCTATATGTTGTCCTAACCTCGTGTAGTTCAGACTTCAGGTATCTCTGATACCTAGCCATAAAAGTTTAGTAGGGACTACTCAACTAAATTATCATGTAACAATCAAATGAGACCTACAGCTGAGTAAAGAAATGCTTCTCTTATTGATCAAATTTTTTTGGTTATTTTTTCATTTTCATGCCATGTTATATTTGATCCTTACGAGCTCAAACTCATAAAACAAAAGGCCACCACTTCTTGTTGGTTTGATTCAGTTATTCAACAAATGTTTATTGAACACTGTATAAGTTCATTCTCATGCTGCTATAAGGACATACCTGAGACTGGGTAATTTATAAAGGAAAGAAGTTTAATTGACTCACAATTCCGCAGGGCTGGGGAGGCCTCGGGAAACTTACAATCATGGTATAAAGGGAAGCAAATATGTCTTTCTTCACAAGACAGCAGGAGAGAGAAGAATCAGAGTCAAGCGAAGGGGGAAGCCCCTTATAAAACCAGAAGATCTCATGAGAACTAACTCACTGTCATGAGTACAGGATGGGGGAAACCGCCTCAATGATTCAATTGTCTCCACGTGGTCCCTCCCATGACATGTGGGGATTATGGGGACTACAATTCAAGATGAGATTTGGGTGGGGACACAGCCAAACCATATCAAACACCGACTATGTGCTAGTCTTTTTTTTTTCTGAAGTACTGGGATGTAGAAACAATGAATGAGCATAATTAATATGTTAAAAGAAGAAAAATGAAGCAGGGAGAGGGCAAGGAGAGTTACCAAGGGAGGAAGTATACTATTTAACAGGGTGGTTCAGCGAAAGTCTCTCCTGTAGATGCTTTTGAGGAGAGATTTGATTGAAGTTAGAAAGCAAGTCATTTGAGCCTTACAGACATCTGTGGAGAGTATTGCGGGAATAGGTGATAGCCAGTGTCAAGCTTTTGCATGCTCAAGGGACAGAATGGAAGCCAGTGTGGCTGGAGCAGAGTGATCAAAGCAGAATGGTAGAGAACCGGAGCAGAGAGGACATGAGCGGGGACATCATATAGGATCTGTTGGCCATAACAAGGAGCTCATGTTTTATTTTGAGTGAGATGAAATAGCATTGTAGCCAAGGAGTAATGTGATCTGGCATATATTTTTAAAGTGTACTTTAGTTACTGAGTTGAATTGGTTTTCTTTTGCTGCATAACAAATTACTACAAATTTACCACCTTATAATACTGCATATGTGTTATCACACAGTTTCTGTGGGTCAGGAGCTGAGGAGGAAGGGCTGCTTAGCTGGCTTTTCTGCTTAGGGTCTCACAAATCTGAAATTAAGGTGTCTCATTTGAAGCCTGGGGTCCTCTTCCAAATTCACTTAGGTTGTTGGCAGAATTCACTTCCTGGAAGTTGTAGGACTAAAGTCCCTGATTTTTGTTGTTGTGGTTTGTTTGTTTGTTTGTTTGTTTGTTTCACTGGTTGGGTGTTTTTTGTTTTTTGTTTTTGTGATTATAAGCCTGGTTATGCTCTCAGCTCCCAGAGGCAGGTCTCAGTTCTTAGCCACACGCCAGCTCACAACCTGGTAGGTCACTTCTCCAAAACTAGCAAGGAAATCTCCTACATTTTGAGTCTTTCTCCAATTTGCTGAAATGGAGCTTTCTATAACATAATGTAATCAATCACAGCAGTAATCCACCATCCTCTTTGCCAACAAATTTAACCTAATCAAGGAAGCGACTCTCTCTTCATATTCATAAGTCCTGTTCATGCCCAATTGGAGGGAATTGTACAGGATGATTACATCATAGGGTGGAAATTTTGGGAGCCAAGTCATAATTCCACTTACTACATAGGTGGTACTACTACAGAATTGTGAAAGGAGCAAGAGAAGATTCTGAAAACCAGATAGAAGGCACTAGTGGAGTCTAAGCCAGTGTTTCCCCAAGTTTAATGTGTATATCAATATCCTAGGCATTTTGTTAAAATGTAGATTCAGACTTCATAAGGCTATAATAGTGGCCTGAATCTCCCAACAAACTCCTAGGTGATGGCGATATTGCTTGCAGAGTAGCAAGGTACAGGCAAATGATGACAGTGACTTGGGTTAGGGTGGTAATAGTAGAGATAAGAAGAGGTCTGATTAGGGAAATATTTTGAAGGCAGACCCTAAAGAGCTTGCTGAAGGAGAAACAAAGGCATCAGGATAACTTCTTACTTCAGGGGATGTCAAAGACTGTGTGGAAGGAGCTTATTTCAGAGCAGAAAAGAGTTCAGTTTGTGATATGCTAAGTATAAGATGCCTTTTAGGTTCCCAGTAGAGAGAATCACAAAATGCGATGGAAAATAGCAGGTTTATACATTATATTCAGTGTTATTGAAGATTTAAAATTTTGTTTCTGTGCACCACAACTATGTAACTCTTTCTAAGTGTGCTTAGAATTTATTATATTGTATTAAAAATGTGAGCAATGAAGAGGACCTAACTGATTTGTGCTGCAGATTCTCTTTCATTCTCTTGCACTGACATTAGTAAAATAAGCAGTGTTTTCTTGTCCCTATGCCAGAGTTCCTTACAGTGAAATAAACATCATTACTCAAATCATTAAAACTGTTCCTAGAATCCAAAATACACATCACTGTGCATATTTAAAACACAATGTATTCAAACACTCTTTGGGTACAGACCTAGACTTTAAGATGATTTTCAGTACCTATTGATTCTGGTTGATGCCTCACTATGAGATGTATTACCAGATTTTCCATGACTGTATAGACGGCTTCATGGTGTGACTAATTATTATTTATTTTCAGGGCAAAATTATGCAATGTTATTTTCATCACATTGTGAGAGGTGGCCATTAGATAGAGCTTGCATAAAAGTTAGTTCTCACTGACTCACTTATCACAAAAGAAGACAGTGTAGACTAGGATTTTATCAAAGATAAATTTACTTATAATCCCCTAAACCTCAATCATGTAAAATCTTGGCCTTACCCGTTCTCATTTTCAGAAAGAAAAGCATTCAGAAGAATATAAAATGAAAACTACACTGCCACTCCTTTCTTCCTTGTGATGGCCATGGAAATGCTAGCGTTTAACCAGAGACTTGGACTCTCAATATTTCAAATGTTTTAAAAGAACTTTAAGTAGAATATACCTGTGCTTAGCACTGCTTGGGTGCTAAGTTAACATGCAGTGAAATAAGATTACGGGAGGTGATTCATGGTTTCAGGTAGGGGTGAAATAAAGGCAACAAAGGGCAGTTTGGGTTTAGAGGACGCTTCATACTGTGGAACATGTGAAAATTTAGTTTATTTTAAGCAAAAATCTTTATAGAAATCCCTGTTTTGCTTTTCTTATTGTTAAACAATAAAATGTGCTAGGCTTTACGACCAGAGAAAAATGGGAAGGAGATATTTTAAGGACAGCCTGATGATTATGTTTTTGTAAATAAGATCCCAAACAGATGGAAATTAAACCAAATCTTTCAATGACAGAGGGTGACAGTAGGTCTGAAGGCAGCTACTTTTATGGAGAGTGTTGAGGAAGTCAGAACTTTACTCCTATATCTGGATTCCTTTCAATCTGGAATCCTGGGCTAGGACTAACTACCTTACAGGACAATTAAGCTTTTTGTTGATTTGAAAGAATTGTGATGACTGGACAAAGCCATTGCTGAACCCTGAACTTGTCACATTATGAGAGGTGGCCATTAGATCAAGCTTGCATAAAAGTTAGTTCTCATTGACTCCCTGATCACAAAAAGAAGATGTTGTAGACTAAAGTTGTACCAAACCTTGGTTGTTGTTCTATAGACTTGTTTTTTTATAGTGGCATGGTTGTTCTACAGACCTTTTGTAGTGTTTCGTATTGAAATCCAGAATCTAAATACAGGCATAATTATTTCATGCATTAGTTCAAAGATGTCAAACATTTTTCTACTATTGCATCTATTTTTATGTAATGTATTAACTATAATGTAAAGTTTAATTTTTGCATGGTAATTTAAGAAACTAAATTTCTTACTCCTTCTTTTCCCTAGGAGCACTGAATCAAAAAAATTGGGGAAAGAAATATCCAACATGTAATAGCCCAAAACAATCTCCTATCAATATTGATGAAGATCTTACACAAGTAAATGTGAATCTTAAGAAACTTAAATTTCAGGGTTGGGATAAAACATCATTGGAAAACACATTCATTCATAACACTGGGAAAACAGGTAAAATATTTGCATTCTGTTTGCCTTTAATATATTTTTCAGACCTGGAGTATGTTTAGACTAGTTTCATCTCATTTTCCTTTGAATAGTGTACTATGAACTAGATAGAAGTTACATGTAGAAGAAACCAAATGGAGCAGAGAAAATGGGAAATTTAGACAATATTTTGACAATTTGTACAAAAAAAAAATGACCAATGTCATCATGTCATGTTTTCCTACAAGGTAACAATAATGATGCTGCCTCTAGAAGATGTGATAATGTGATTTACAGCTAATATAATTTAGTCAATTACTTAGTCAATCAGGATTTCTTTTTCTTGAGCATTATAGTTTGATCTTTTCTGCCTAGCCTCATGTTATAGTCAGTATTTGGATATGAAAAAAGCAATTGGCTATAATTGAAATTTAAGAAAATAAATTCCTAGCTCTTCTATATAGAAGGTTTAAAGTTGTATCCCATCCTTAGGAAACCCTCTCTAAGTGTCTTTTTATTGAGCCTATCTTTTTTTTTTTTTAAAAAAAAGCAAAATATAATACATTAAAATTTAAGTACAAATTCTAATAAGCTATACATAGATAAATAATTTCCAAAAAGTGACACCTTTTCTTTTTTGATATTCTAGTTTTTTTAAAAATTGTATTTTGGGAAATTATGTAAAGGCAAATATACACGTAAGACAAAGATTAGAAAAATATTCAAAATTATAATAGTAGCTCTATGGGGATAAGCTTTATCATTGGTGAATTTTTTTTATATTTTCTATATTTAGGTAATGTAATTATTTGAACATAATAATTTAATTTCAAAACTCAAGAGAGTAGTAGTCAGGCACTGTGGCTCACGCCTGTGATCCCAGCACTTCGGGAGGCCGAAGTGGCTGGATCACTTGAGGTCAAGAGTACCAGACTAGCCTGGCCAATATGGCAAAAACCCATCTCTACTAAAAATACAAAAATTAGCTGGGTGTGGTGGCACACTCCTGTAATTCCAGATACTCAGGAGGCTGAGACACAAGAATCACTTGAACTCAAGAGTTGGAGGCTGCAGTGAGCCAAGATCATGCCACTGCACTCCAGCCTGGACAACAGAGTGAGATCCTATCCAAAAAATCAAATCAAAACAAACAAACAAACAAAAAACAACTCCTGCTGGGCGCAGTGGCTCACGCCTGTAATCCCAGCATTTTGGGAGGCCAAGGTGGGTGGATCACCTGAGGTCAGGAGTTCAAGACCAGCTTGGTCAACATGGCAAAACCCCACCTCTACTAAAAATAAAAAAATTAGCCAGGCATGGTGGTGCATGCCTGTAATCCCAGCTACTCGGGAGGCTGAGGCAGGAGAATTGATTGAACCCAGGAGTCGGAGGTTGAGTGAGCTGAGATTGTGCCATTGCACTCCAGCCTGGGCAACAAGAGCGAAACTCTGTCTCAAAAAAAAAAAAAAAAAAAATCTCATGAAAGTAGAGATTTTTCTACATCAGTGCCTGATATGTAATAAACACTAAGTATTTCTTGAATGAATAATTTTTAAAATTATTATGTTACATGTAATAATTACCTAAAAGTATATTGTCCCAAATCTTGACATTATTATTTTCAGTTTTGAAGGGTGTTAGAAAGCAGTAGGGCATGGAACCTCTGCTTTGGTTTTTTTATTTTTATTCTTTTTATATATATATTTTTATTATACTTTAAGTTCTAGGGTACATGTGCACAACATGCAGGTTTGTTACATATGTATACATGTGCCATGTTGGTGTGCTGCACCCATTAACTTGTCATTTACATTAGGCATATCTCCTAATGCTATCCCTCCCCCCTCCCCCCACCCCGCAACAGGCCCAGGTGTGTGATGTTCCCCTTCCTGTGTCCAAGTGTTCTCATTGTTCAAATCCCACCTATGAGTGAGAACATGCGGTGTTTGGTTTTTTGTCCTTGCGATAGTTTGCTGAGAATGATGGTTTCCAGCTTCATCCATGTCCCTACAAAGGACATGAACTCATCATTTTTTATGGCTGCATAGTATTCCATGGTGTATGTGTGCCACATTTTCTTAATCCAGTCTATTGTTGTTGGACATTTGGATTGGTTCCAAGTCTTTGCTATTGTGAGTAGTGCCACAATAAACATGCATGTGCATGTGTTTTTATAGCAGCATGATTTATATTCCTTTGGGTATATACCCAGTAATGGGATGGCTGGGTCAAATGGTATTTCCAGTTCTAGATCTCTGAGGAATCGCCACACTGTCTTCCACAATGGTTGAACTAGTTTACAGTCCCACCAACAGTGTAAAAGTGTTTCTATTTCTCCACATCCTCTCCAGCACCTGTTGTTTCCTGACTTTTTAATGATCACCATTCTAACTGGTGTGAGATGATATCTCATTGTGGTTTTGATTTGCATTTCTCTGATGGCCAGTGATGGTGAGCATTTTTTCATGTGTCTGTTGGCTGCATAAATGTCTTCTTTTGAGAAGTGTCTGTTTATATCCTTTGCCCACTTTTTGATGGGGTTGTTTGTTTTTTTCTTGTAAATTTGTTTAAGTTCTTTCTAGATTCTGGATATTAGCCCTTTGTCAGATGAGTAGATTGCAAAAATTTTCTCCTATTCTGTAGGTTGCCTGTTCACTCTGATGGTAGTTTCTTTTGCTGTGCAGAAGCTCTTTAGTTTAATTAGATCCCATTTGTCAATTTTGGCTTTTGTTACCATTGCTTTTGGTGTTTTAGACATCAAGTCCTTGCCCATGCCTATGTCCTGAATGGTATTGCCTAGGTTTTCTTCTAGGGTTTTTATGGTTTTAGGTCTAACATTTTAATATTTAATCCATCTTGAATTAATTTTTGTATAAGGTGTAAGGAAGGGCTCCAGTTTCAGCTTTCTACATATGGCTAGCCAGTTTTCCCAGCACCATTTCTTAAATAGGGAATCGTTTCCCCATTTCTTGTTTTTTTCAGGTTTGTCAAAGATCAGATAGCTGTAGATGTGTGGTATTATTTCTGAGGGCTCTGTTCTGTTCCATTGGTCTCTACCTCTGTTTTGGTACCAGTACCATACTGTTTTGGGAACCTCTGCTTTATTATATATTGTAAGCAAAAATCTTTATAGAAATCCCTGTTTTCCTTTTCTTATTGTTAAACAATAAAATGTGCTAGGCTTTATAACCAGAGAAAAATGGGAAGGAGGTATTTCAAGGATAGCCTGATGATTATGTTTTTATAAATAAGATCCCAAACAGATGGAAATTAAACCAAATCATTCAATGACAGAGGGTGACAGTAGGTCTGAAGGCGGCTATTTTTATGGGGAGTGTTGAGGGTTTTGTTTTTCTTAGGGGAGAGTGGTTATTAGATTATTGAGCTAATAGAGCCACATTACTTGGGTTCACCACTGGCTCTTGAAATGACAGTGGGGAACCTTTGAGCAACCTACTTAGCCTTTCTGTGACTCAATTTCCTCATCTGTAAAATAAGGTTTATACAGTATCTACTTACCAAGGTTGTGCGAAGATCAAATGGATAATATATGTAAAGTAACTAGTATAGTTCATGGTACATCGTAAGTGATATGTAAATGTTGGCTGTCGTTGTTATTGTGCTTGTTATTATTATTATTAGCTGGAGTTTGTATCCCTAGCTGGCTGGCCAATATGTTGTATTCAGTCCCTGATGCCAAAGTGATTTATCCCTAATGGAACAGAGACTATTTAAACTTTATTGAGGGACATCCAAATCTTTCACTGGGCTCTCAAGAGAGCTCTCCAGAAGACTGTTAAAATATAGTCAGATAATATCTGCTGTGGAACTCATACAGGGGAGTTTAAGCTTCTGCCACTCAGGGTTCAAACATGAGATGGCCAAAACTCCTCCATAAGAATGAGTTTCCTGCCTTTCCTGCCACAGCCAGGGACCCAGGTTCTGGACCTTGCTAATGAAGCCTGGGTGATACATGGAGGGATAAGCAGCAGCCTGATAAGGAGTAGAAATGGGCTGAAAATAGGAAGGTGAGAGAACTCTGAGGAGAAGACTTATTTTTTTTTTTCTTTTAACCCTTCAGTTCCTTCCCCCTTTGCTCTGTCTTCTTATTACCATCTGACATCTTAGGGAAGCAGAGCTTTCAAGTAACAGCTATCTTAGGACACCAAACAAACAGAGCAGGTGGACTGGCTGTCTTCTGCCCTTGAAGTCATACACTAGTCAATATCTTCAGCTTAGTTTGCATTTGTGGCAATAAGATATAAGTATATTGTGCAGACCTACAAAGTTTGGCTTCCAAAATGGCGACTTCATATTTTGTAAATTTATCAAATAAATGATTTTTCTTAATGTACCTTAAGTAGATGGAAATTTAGTTGAAATTTAAAATTTTGATTTTCAGAAGCTTAGGTGCAATTGTATTTCTTTTTTTAGTGGAAATTAATCTCACTAATGACTACCGTGTCAGCGGAGGAGTTTCAGAAATGGTGTTTAAAGCAAGCAAGATAACTTTTCACTGGGGAAAATGCAATATGTCATCTGATGGATCAGAGCATAGTTTAGAAGGACAAAAATTTCCACTTGAGGTAAGTCAGGAGATCTGCTGTGTACTATTTTATTTTCTAAATAATTGATGTTTTTATTTAGCATATAATTTGATTAATTTTAAAATCCAATATTAAAATTTATAAAGTGATATTTTGATTACTTGATTAATATACTAGACTAAGCTAAATTAATGTAAGACTTATCTTTGATTTGCCACTTGCTGGTAAGTAGCAACCCAAAGTGCCACAAAATGGTAATCAATAAATGCTGATGAATTAATGAAGGAAGGAAAAGGGGGACAATTTCATTAACATACTGGAGAATCCTTTGATTTAAATCTTTTGATTAAAATGAGAAAAATTTTCAGCTTTAAAATTGGCAAAGTAAATAATTATAAAAAATGAGTGTGTAGTGAAATGTTTTCTTACATGTCTAGAGAAAGTCTAAATTGGTAGACTTTCTGGGAAGCAGTTTGCTTGTTTTTATTAAGAATTTTAAATGATTTACACTAAATACCCAACATTTAAATTTAAAGCCATTTAGTCTAAAAATTTAAAAATTGCAAAAATTTATTTAAAATATAATATTGAACCAAAAGGCAATGATTATTTAAATACATTATGATGGATATTATAGATTTCACAAAAATCATGTTTTTGAATGATATATATACATATAAAAGGCTCATGATAAGGTATTAATGGTTTTAAAAAGAAACATGTTAAGTGGTATAACCAGTATTATTTTTGCAATTTTTTAATACATTAAAATTAATTAAATATTGACTGAGAGTGGAGTCTGAATCAAATGGACTAGGTTTGAATCTTGACTCCACCATTTGGTTATTGGTTACATGACATACAATATATAAATTATTTAACTTACCAATGCTTCCATTTTTCTTCCGTGAAATTGACATAGTAGCTGCACCTGCCTTATAACATTACTATGGAAATTAAATGAGGGATTGACTTATTACTCATAAAAGTAATTGAGGAGCCAGGCGCGGTGGCTCATGCCTGTAATCCCAGCACTTCGGGAGGCCGAGATGGGCAGATCACTAGAGGTCAGGAGTTCCAGACCAGCCTGGCCAACATGGTGAAATGCCACCTCTACTAAAAACACAAAAATTAGCTGGTCATGGTAGCACTCACCTGTAATTTCACCTACTCAGGAGGCTGAGGCATGGGAATCACTTGAACTCAGGAGGTGGAGGTTGCAGTGAGCCAAGATCACACCACTGCACTCCAGACTGGGTAATGGAGTGAGACGCTGTCTCAAAAAAGAAAAAAAAAAAAAAAAAAAAAAAGCAATTGATGGAATTCAAGAAAATGCTAGTAATGATTTTCTCTGGGTGATGGCATTATAGGTGCCTCTTATTTTCTCCTTTCAAGTTCCCATGTTTTCTAAAATACCTAGAATGAAACTATTCATTTTATAATTCAAAAGTTATTAATAATAAAAATAAGATAGGGTGAATTACCTCTTAAAAGACTAAAAAGCTTTTTTTAAAAGATGGATATCGACATTCATTTACAGCTTATACTATGGATTTTTTCTTTATTCAATATTTTTAAAGAAAAGCACATTTATCAAATTTGCTTTGTCAAAGTAGTCAAAGTCAATTCATTAAGCAACATATCACTTCTGAGAGTTTAGCTTACTCACAATATTACCTATTTAGAACAAAGATGAAGTTCAAGAAAAATTCTATCAACAAGAGCCCTGAGCAATCAAAATACATGGTACAGAATCCATGCACTAAACCTAATACAATTATTTTAATGCAAAAGCCTCTCAAATTGTCTCTCAGTGGTATTGGGGTTTTGTTGTTGTTGTTGTTGTTGCTTTGAGACAGAGTCTCGCCCTGTCGCCCAGGCTGGAGTGCAATGGCATGATCTCGGCTCACTGCAACCTCCACCTCCTGTGTTCAAGCAATTCTCCTGCCTCAGCCTCTCGAGTTGCTGGGATTACAGGTGCATGCCACCATGCCCAGCTAATTTTTTCTATCTTTAAGTAGAGACGGAGTTTCACTATGTTGGCCAGGCTGGTCTTGAACTCCTGACCTCGTGATCCACCCACCTCAGTCTCCCAAAGTGCTGGGATTACAGGCATCAGCCACCATGCCCAGTCTTCTTTGTTGTTTTAAAACACTCTCTATGTAATTGTGTAAGCAGGAAACCCAAGGATCATCCCTGGCTTGCTCCGTATTTCTTATCTCCTACATCTCACAATCAAGTCTTCTCAATTCACCAGGCATGGTGGCTCAAACTGTCATCCCAGCACTTTAGGAGGCTGAGGCTGGAGGATCACTTAAGCCCAGGAGTTTGAGACTAGTCTGGGCAACATAGTGAGATCCCATTTCTACAAAAAATAAGAGAAAATAGCTGAAGACGGTGGCATGCACCTGTTGTCCCAACTACTCCAGAGGCTGAGGTAGGAGGATCACTTAAGCCCATGAGGTCAACGCTGCAATGAGCCATGATCATGCCACTGCATTCCAGCCTGAGTGACAGAGTGAGACCCCCTCTCAAAACAAACAAACAAAAGCCTTATCAGTTTTTCTCCTAAATACCATATGGGAGGTCAGAAAAAAGTTTGCTTACTTGGATTATTAAATTAATAATTATTAAGTTTTAAATCATATTTCTTTCGATTTCCCATGCTTGTCATACTGTCTTGCCTAATAGGCCTTTGCCAGGTGGTACTTCTGACTTGAACACATGCCCTTCTCTTCTGCCTTTCACCTGGCTAAAAGCTGCTCATTCTTGAAGGGTCAGTTTAGAAATCCTGTCTCTGAAAAGGTTTTGGTGACTCGCCCAAAGCAGGAGCCACTGCTATCCTCTGTTGCACACCCTCTGTTTCTCCCATCAGAGCACTGACTATGCTTTATGCTCTCAGAGGCTTCCTACTCTTACCTTAAGTCTACTTCTATCTAGCCTGAGACACCTGATTTCCAAACCCAGACAGGAGAAGCACCAAATTATATAGAGGCTGTTACAGAGAGATACATATATGGACTGAAGCAGAAATTAACAAGGGATAGCCTCACAGCTGGAAAGGAGAATCAAAATATGAAACTTAAAACTCTTTTGGTATTTTTTAGGTAGAAGCTGAGAGTCCTTGAGAGTTTCAATATTAATAGACCACAATATGGGAATATCAAAGAATGGTAACTCTGGACTCTCAAGAAAGGCATGCACTCTTGAGAAAGACAGAAAATTATATTTAAAATAATTCCATAAAGCAGTTAAAGTAATATATGATTATTTATTTTATGTAATTGTTCTAATAAATTTTACGGCACAGTCCCCTGGTAATCTCAAAATGGTCATTTTGGTTTTAGATATGTCTAACTTTCTATTCCCTTCCTTATTGAAGGATGGTAAATGATAGCAAATGTAGTTGTATACATGTAATTTATAAAAGATTTTGGAAATACTTAGAATGTAGAATTCTCTTTGCTGATTTTTATGAAGTCTTTGTGTATCATAAAACTATCATTGTTACTTTTATAGATGCAAATCTACTGCTTTGATGCGGACCGATTTTCAAGTTTTGAGGAAGCAGTCAAAGGAAAAGGGAAGTTAAGAGCTTTATCCATTTTGTTTGAGGTAATATATATACACTTTACACTAATGTAATTCCTTTTTAAGTCACATTAAATATTGACGTGAAATATCAAGACATAGTTTCTAACAAAGAGAGGAGCTCACAAGTAAAATTAAAACTGGTGGTCATTTTCAAAAAAAGATGACCCTTGCCTGGTATTTTTAAAAGGAGACTCTTGTGTTTGTTAATTGGGTGAATCTTTTCTAGCTGGGGCAAAGTGTTCTATTAAGTACACAGATTTGCTTATAGTACATAAAAGCATCATATTAATAATTATGTATTATTATCAGTAACTATGAATCATAAAATTTTAAAATTTACTTTTCTTAGTGAAATATGTAAGTTACCTGGTTTTTGTTTGCTTTATTTGTTTTCACCTAGCTATAAAAAAAGTGTTTTTGGAACTTACTATTTTTTAATGCACATATTTAAAATGGAATTCATTAATCTTCACATTTTTATTGAATAGTTATCCAAATGTTTTATTCTTTTTTTAGAATGTGATTCTTTTTTAACAGGTTGGGACAGAAGAAAATTTGGATTTCAAAGCGATTATTGATGGAGTCGAAAGTGTTAGTCGTTTTGGTAAGCTACTTGGGGAACTATCTTTCTTCAGGATTCTGCTTTGGATGGATAAGAATGTTGACAATACGACAAAAGTCACTTGTTCCAAAAGGTGGAAAGTACTACATTTTTAAAGAGGAGCAATCTCTCACTTTCCACACTTGATAATTTATACATTTCTCACCAAATAAATAACAATTTATCAGAAAATTTTGTTACATCAAAAGCATGAAACATTAATGTAAGTAGGAAATTGAAGTTTTTAAAATTCTTGAAAATAATCTAATTATATCATGCAATTAAAGCCTATTTATCTATTATGTCTCTGCATTATACATCCGTTAAAGACTAATTCCTAATCTGAAACCAGCTAATTTTATAAATATCATATTTTAAAGTAGAAAAGGAATTGTTACTCAAGTTAAAATTTATTCCCTGGTGGTTTCCTTGATAAATCCTTTGCTTTATCAACATGAGGAGATGAGATTTTTGGAAGAAGGTCAACACTTACATAGAAGAAGATGCAATATGCTTTGACATTGTTCTGCCTGCTATCTCATGGATCTTGTAATTTGTCACAACAAATGCTTTTAACAACATGGGCAGAGGAGTGTAAGCCTATTAATTTTACTATTTTATTTTTATTAAGCACTCACACACAGGATCTTAATGCTGCCCTGAGTTACCAATAAAATGAGGATTATTCCTCTCTGGAAGCTGCAAAATTTGAAATCAGAAACAAAACTCATGTAGATCCTTTTCTTGAAAGCAGAAGCCTGGCCTAGGATTGATTTATCATTGTCAATTACATGTGAGGATCTGAATTGACCCAACTTTTCAGAAGTCAGGAATATGTGAACTCCTGCAGGGTAGCTTTTATTTTTTTTTTTTTTTTAGAGACACAGCACAAGATGAAGCTGTTACCTCCCTCCATCAACCCAGATTGCAAAATTCTACATTGAATGCGATAAGTCACATTTAATTTTCCCCACTTGAGTCACAAAGTAGATTCTATCCAGACTGAAATAAAACAACTTGTTTGAATTCCTATACTTAAAAAAATGTGTAAGATATGAATTCTGAATGTTCCAGACCTTGCACCAGCCTGTGGGGACAATGAAAGAGATGTTAACACTGGGTTGTTAACCCTGACTTGTGCAACTATGGGACCTTTGAGACTTTCTCTTAAGGCCTCTTTACTTTCCCAGGTACTTTACTTTTTGGGGGTGCCTTGGAAGGCACTCATACGAGCTTGAGAATAAACTTGCTCATGTTCTTTAAAATTTCCTTTCTAATATCTACTGTCTGAAAGCCATTCAGGAAGATACTTTGTCAGATACACTGTGACTACATATTCTCTCCCTTTCTGAGAATATGGATTCCCTAACAGCATTATTCTGCCTATATTCTGGCTCTTAATTTGAAAGCAGAACAGTTCTTGGATTAGCTGAGGACGGATTCTAGTCCTTTACCCCCTCTCTCTCTGTCTCTCTACCTCACTTGTATTAGTCCATTTTCACACTGAGAGTAAGTGATGTGTAAAAGAAAGAGATTGAATTGACTCACAGTTCTGCATAGGTGGAGAGGCCTCAGGAATCTTACAATCATAGTGGAAAGCAAAGGGTAAGCAAGGCATGTATTACATGGCAGCATGAGAGAGAGAATGAGAGTGTGAGCAAAGGAGAAACTGCGGAACACTTATAAAGCCATCAAATCTCGTGAGAACTCACTCACTATCATGAGAACAGCATGGGGGAAACTGCCCCCATGATCCAATCACTTCCCACTTGGTCCCTCCTCAACACATGGGGATTACAATTTGGATTACAATTCAAGATGAGATTTGGGCAGGGACACAGAGCTAAACCATATCACCACTATTTGTGCACCAACTTCCTCATTTACCAAAAACCAAAATCCTTCATGCCTATCCACTCATTCATCTGGATACTTAGTATTTCAATATACTCAGCAAGGACAACTACCCAAACCAAATAAGTTAAGTCTTTCTAAAGTCAAACGTTTCCATTTTGAGAGTTCTTGAATTAAATCCAGTCTATTTCTGACTCTAGAAAATCCCCTACTGCCCAATAAACTGAAGGCTCCCCCATATTGGCAATCAGACATTGCTGCTGGCAACCTTGAGGATCAAAGGTGGGACTTGTCTTTAGGCAGTGATTCTGGAACCACAGCTAAATCCCCAAATTTGGCTCTGTATTCACCATATAATGTAAGTTATTAAAAAAAAAAACACCTTTTCAACCATTATTCAGATTATAAGATCTATCTTACTATGCTGTGGGCTGGTTGCTCATTTCCTGTTTCCTCTCTAAAGGACAAAGCCCATTTCTCATTCCTCCCCTCAACCCCTCTTTCTTTCTTTCCCTCCCATCCACCATACCTACTCTATGTTAGGCATTATCCTATCCATGGAGTGGAGAGAGAGAGAGCATGATGTTGCAGCAATACTGAGATAATGAATTAATATTTTCCAAGCAGAGCCCACAAAAGACGTTAGTTGCAATCTTTCGAGTTGCAGGGAAGAGACACATCCCAGGTAACATCATCAGTGATTATCTGATGGAAATTCTCATCAGACTGATTTATAGTGCTTTCTTAATCACAATTTCAGCCCAGAAATTTCTGTACTGAAAAGTCCTCATAGGCATTGGTGTGACCCCATGCTAAATATCATTGTCCTAAGTAATAGGAGCTGGTTTTATGTAGTTACCAGCCTTTCTCTAGTGCTTGGCCCTATTGTGGTTTCTTCATCTTTGTTCCTCCCCATCTTTTTTCTTCCACCATTAGCCTTCTCATGGACGGATCTGATTAGTTGGTTGGTTGATCATCATTACATGTTCAAGCAAATAATGATTGCAAAAATGAATGACTGACCCCAAATAGAGCAGCACTGGCTCTGCTGTGCTTCTCTCTTGTGTTAACAATAGTGAGGTTACTTGGATGAAGCAGGTGTTTTTTTCTCAAGCCAACAAAACAAAATGAAAACCACAAACACAAACAAAGGAAAACACTGTAGTGAAATTTTGTTAGAAGAAAATGTAACTGAAAAGCACTTCTGTAATTTAAAAATCTTGTGATATCTAGTTACCACATCCGTAAGAGAGACCAGGTGACTGCTATTGAGGTCCAGAGGCAGAAGAATGGATTCCACATTGGGGATAGGGAGAGGAAAATGAAAAAAAAAAAATCTTCTTCTGATTCTTTTGCTTCTTTTTAAATTTTTTCCCCTTTAATTTCTTTCCCAATAATAGGAAAATTCTCTGTCTCACTCTCCTTACTCAGGTCTCACCTCTGCTTTCCCTTCCGGGCCCCTGGCTCTCCTGGGGTCAATTCATTTCCACCTAACTTAGCAGCGAGTCAATTTCTGGCTCTTTACCTAATTAGTATTCTCAACACACACATTTTTCATGAAATATTTGTAAGATAAATTTAGTCTTCAGTGGGAAAAGGAACAATTACAGTCCACTTGTCAGTTAAGGAGGTAATTTAACTACAACACTTTTCTAGTATTGAAAACATAAATCTAAAAAACATTCACAGATTAAAAAAAAATATTCTTCTTAGTTCCTGAGAACTTGAATCTAATCTGAATTCTGATCATGTTATCTTGGCATTGGAGAAGAGGAGGACATACTTTTAGAAGTTACTAATGAATCCGTTAAATCAAAGAAAACTTGAACTTTCTAATGGATTAAAACTACATGTAGGACATATTGACGTGACTATCAATTCAGTTAAGAAAAGGTTTTTATTTCTAAGATTCAGTTGTTAATTCAGACTGAAGCAGTTGTCTGTAACTTTAGTTAATAACAGTACTCCTTTTCCCTTCAGAAGTTTCTGTTACAGAAAAGTTAACATTTACTAATTTAACTTTTAAATAACTTATTTTTCTTTGAGGCTTTCTGAGTATGTTCAGTCTTCATAGAGTTTACAGCTGGAATAGACTTTTAAGATCAGATAGTCTAGTCATTTCGTATTCTAATGTGGAAAGTGTGGTTAAGAAAGACTAGGCCGGGCGTGGTGTCTCACGCCTGTGATCCCAGCACTTTGGGAGGCCGAGGCGGGCGGATCACGAGGTCAGGAGATCGAGACCATCTTGGCTAACACGGTGAAACCCCGTCTCTACTAAAAACACAAAAAATTAGCCAGGCGTGGTGGCAGGCGCCTATAGTCCCAGCTACTCGGGAGGCTGAGGCAGGAGAATGGCGTGAACCCTGGGGGGCGGAGCCTGCAGTGAGCCGAGATAGCGCCACTGCACTCCAGCCTGGGCGGCAGCGAGACTCCGTCTCAAAAAAAAAAAAAAGAAAGAAAAGAAAGACTAAAACCTTGAAAAGGCTTCACTTTACTTGGGATTTTCTACACTAGCCTACTACCCTGCATGTTTGCATCACCTGGGGATGCTTTTTAAAAATCTAGATGCCCAGGCCTGACCACTAGAGATCTTAATGCAAATGGTCTAGCGTGGGGCCTGAGGCATTGGTATTTTTCTAAAACTCCCTGGATTATTCACATAAGGATTAACACCACTGCTCTACACTCCGCCACCTCACTTAGACTACACGGATTGGCTTCAGGGACTATTTCTTAATGGCCTTAATCTCATAGAGAGGGCAGAGGACTTGCACTGGGCTGGGTAGTTCAGGAGATAGGAAAACAAATTAGACACAGATCTCACTGGTAAGTAGATTGCTGCCTACATGAGTGAGGGCTGGTTCACAAATAGCTAAATGACCAAGGTATTGCTATTGGTAAGTGCTATTGGACAGATACAAATGAGACTATTCAAGGAGACAGATATATTTGGATTGTTTCAGGGTTTGAAGGCCAGATGGCCCACCTAAGAAAACTCTACCAGTTTTTGGATAGAAATTCTATAATCTGTATACAAGTTTATATATAAGAATAAACCCATATTTATTGGTGTGTGTGTGTGTGTGTGTGTGTACACACACAAACACATCTGTGTATATTGTATCAAAAATATTTTTTTCCACTCTTTGGCTTTCCTTTTAACTCTCTTAATGACTATTGATGAATAGATCTTGATTGTCATATACTAAATTTTATCATTTTTCCTTTTATAAGTAATATTTTTTGTGTGCCATTTCAGAAACCTCAACCTACCATTAGGTTATGATGATAATTTTTTAATGTTTTCATTTAAAAGCATTATGAATATGTTCATTTAAATCTGCAATCAGTTTAGAACTGATTTGTGCTTATGATGTGAAGTAGGGAATCAAGATTCACTTTTTTCCATGAGGATATTCAATTGATATAGCACTGTTTATTGAAAAGACCATCCATTCCACATTCCATAATAATTTTTTCTATCATAGATCAAATGATCATATTTTTCTCTTTTATTTTCTCTTCCATTGTTCTCTTCATCGATCTTTGCACAAATACCTCACTATCATAATTTCTACAGCTTTATATGTAACAGTATGACAGCTCTTCCTATCTGGTAGTGAAAGTTTTCCAGCTTTATTATTTTTCAAGATTGTCTTAACTTTTCTTTGGATTTTTATTGAGATTTTAGAATCAATATGTCAATTACACACACAACCTTCTGGGATTTTAATTAGGATTTCATTGAATCTATGAATCAATTTGGGGAAAATCAACACCTTCACAATACTGACTCTTCCAACCCATGAACATAATCTTTCTGCCATTTTAATATTTATTTAATTCTCTCCAGAATGTTTTGTAATTTTCAGTGTAGATATTCTACACATTATTTGTTAGATTTATTTGTATTTGATAATGTTTTCCTATTTTAAATCATATTGCTTTAAATTTTATTTTCTGTTGTTTGATGCTGGTACACAGAAATACAATTGATTTTTGTATATTGATCTACGTGCAGTGACTTTGCTAATTTCACTTATTATTTCTCATTCTCTGTAGATGATTTTCTTTCTTTCTTTTTTTTTTGAGATGCAGTCTCGCTCTGTCACCCAGGCTGGAGTGCGGTGGCGCCATCTTGGCTCACTGCAACCTCCGCCTCCCAGGTTCAAGCGACTCACTCTCCTGCCTCAGACTCTTGAGTAGCTGGAACTACAGACACGTGCCACCATGCCCAGCTAATTTTTTGTATTTTTAGCAGAGATGGGGTTTCACCGTGTTAGCCAGGATGGTCTCGAACTCCTGACTTCGTGATCCACCCACCTTGGCTTCTTTACAGGCGTGAGCCACCACGCCCGGCCTGTAAATAATTTTCAATGTTTTACATGCACAATCATGTTATTTGCACACTGTGATGGTATTATTTTTTCCTATACAATCTTAAGATTTTCGTTTCTTTTTTCTTTATTGCACTGGCTCAGTCTTCCAATTCAATGTTAAATAGAAGTGGTGATGGCAGGAAATCCTGGTGTCATTCTTGATCTCTAGGGGAAACACTTTCAATAAGTCATTCTTAAATATGATGACTAGTACAGGCTTTGATGATCATCTTCACCAGAATAAGGTTGTGTTTTTATTTTCCATGAACTGGTATTGAGTCTTATGAAATGATATAACTATATCTATTGAGATGATCATCTGATTTCTGAGTATTTTTATATGTAAAATATTCTGTTCACCATCTTGATGTAAAGATAAGTCATCTAACACTGTATAGTGACATGTGTAATACAATTTGGGGCATGCCAGCTTTATTACCATTTAAAAATATATCTAAAATGTTTCAAAATCTCAGTTTTGATTAAATACATAACAAAGCATGTGTCTCTGTTTCATAGAAGTTTTGAACAGCTAAGTTCCAGTGTTGAGATTCCAGCTGAGATGTATATTATTCCTTTTTAGGGAAGCAGGCTGCTTTAGATCCATTCATACTG
Source organism: Homo sapiens (assembly GCF_000001405.40). Lineage (NCBI taxonomy): Eukaryota > Metazoa > Chordata > Mammalia > Primates > Hominidae > Homo > Homo sapiens. The sequence continues at coordinate 121,983,697 of NC_000007.14, forward strand.
TTGAACCTTCTGCCAAACTCAACTGACAAGTATTACATTTACAATGGCTCATTGACATCTCCTCCCTGCACAGACACAGTTGACTGGATTGTTTTTAAAGATACAGTTAGCATCTCTGAAAGCCAGGTAATCTTAGAAATTCAAACAAATCAAGTAATTCAAAGCCATTTAAAAAACATTATGTTCTAAGTTTGCTATAAAATATCCATTTTAAAGCATTTACCAATGCCTTTGAAGCAGATATGTTAAATTATTTGATCTTTTTTTCAGTTGGCTGTTTTTTGTGAAGTTCTTACAATGCAACAATCTGGTTATGTCATGCTGATGGACTACTTACAAAACAATTTTCGAGAGCAACAGTACAAGTTCTCTAGACAGGTGTTTTCCTCATACACTGGAAAGGAAGAGATTCATGAAGCAGGTATGTATTTAAATATAATCTTCTACAACTCTCATAGATGCAGTGTTATAGGAGGTAATTTTGGTAAACTGACAAATATAGAGGACTTAGAGCTTTAGAAATGTTTTAATTATTAATTTTGTAGCTTTAGATAAGCTGTCTAATTTTCTGAATATCAGATACCACATCTATAAAATGGCAACTAAAAAAATCTATTCTTCCCATAAGAATAACCCCATTTTACAGATGAGAAAAACTGAGATTTAATAAGGAAAATCATTTTTCCAGAATACACAGTAATAAGTAGCAAAGCAAAGTACACACCTCCAAGTTCACTTTCTGGTATTTGCCTGGGCTGAGAGGTATGAGAAAGGAATGAATAAGAGGCTGAGGTGTTCAGAGCTTGGGAGATCATTTCTGGTTGGGATAATAAGGAAAACTTTATGGGAGAACCGCCTTTGAACTGAGTCTTGACACAGTATTTGGGTTTTAAAGTGCTCATCTTTGTGTTGGCAGCCCCCAAGAAGGAGCCTAGCACCTTATCAGTACTGAAAATAAATGCACTGAGTTATTAATGAATAAGAAGTGAATCTTCTTCCCAGTTTCCTTCTTTGGAGGAAAAGAAATTTGCTCTTTTTAGGTACAGCCAAGGGAAATGACACCAGAGGGGTGTCTCTAGAATGCCGTCTGTTTTTTGAAGCTGACACAGTAGTTAAAAGCATTTTTAAATGTCCAGAGAACACAATCAGATACATCTGCTGACTTGTCCTTTTCAGTTTTTACTGAGGTTGTCACTTGTTCATTAAAGAAGTCGTTGAAGTGACCTTTGCACTGGAAAGGACTTCTAACCTTTCCAAGTAGATGGACCTCTTTGATATCAGTCCTGCAATGAATTCAATGATTTTTTTTTGCCATGTATAATATTAATTTAATAATCATCTGCTTTTGAAGATTAGGCATTAAAACAACAAGCTTTTATTGTTTTAATGTGATATTTCCAAGAATCGTTTATCCTTTAACAAAAAAATAGAATTCAAGACAACAGTGATGAATAGCTATATTTACTATGACACTAAATTTTAAACTAAATTGCCCCAAAGTGAGGAAATTTAATTACATTTCTATCAGTAGTACTAAATACTATAGCATACTGTCCAGTAAATAATAGACAATCGATTAGAAAAAAGAAAGTGGATTTAACCATCCCCTCTTCTTAAATATAATAGACCAAATTACTAATTAAATAAATATGATTTTTTTGTCACACAGTTTTATCAATTCTGTTTTATTAAAACCCTTCACTGGTTCTGCATCACTTTTGGAATAAAGTTCAAACTGCTTGTTATTGCATGGCAGGCTCTGTGTAGGTTTACTAGTCTTAGTGCTTAAGCCTCCCCAACTAGCATCCTTCCCTTACATTGAACTCCATGAAGTCCCCTGAAGATGCAAGACCACATTCTTCCAGGTTGCATTTGTACATTTGGCTTCCCCATTGATGGCATATTCCTCTCCACTGTCTTCATTTCCCTGCCTCCTCATTCTTCAAGACTCAAGTTGAGCATTGCATCCACTAGGAGGCCATCTCTGACTCTGCTTCTGTCCCCCTAAGTCTGGCCCTGGCAATGGCCACAGGACTGCACACTCAAGGAGACACCATACCCATAGATGGTAAATGGTGCTCCTCTGGAGGTTGTACGATGTGCTCAGCTTCTCCAGACTTCATAGCAGTTACCACATTATGGTAATTGTCTATTTACTTTTGTGTCTCTGCCAGCAATCTCTGAGCCCCATAATGGAAGTAAATAAGTCTTTTATCTCTTTATCTCCATGGCCAAACTAAAGTAAAGCTCTCTTTCACTAAATATTCACTGCATGGCTGAAAGACTCCATTTCCACATAATAAAAACATAGCAAGTTATACTTAATGGGTGCTTCCTGCACTGTTTAATGTGTAGATCTGTATATAATTCTGATTTAATGTAGAACATTGCTTTCACAGTTAAGTGTTAAAGGCCCAAAGTAATAATCCATAATAACAAAAACAGTAATAGCTACTGTGTATTGTGTGACTCTACCAGGCATTGGAACCAGACAATATTTGACGTAGACCTCACTTCACTCTTATGAAGTTGGCCTCATTGTCTTCATTTTACAGTTTGGGAAGCTGATATTAAATGGCTTGCCCAAGTTTACACAACTAGAAAGGAATGGAGTCAGTATTTGAACCCAAGTCTCCCTGAATCTAAAGCTTTGCAAACTTCTGTCCACTGTACTTGACATTTATACAGGAACATAATTTCTGCTTACATAAAAAACTGATGACTTTAAAGACATGAAGCTTCAAAAAAATAGTAATGGATTTTGAGTGTTTTGTTTATCCTAAGGTCAAACACAGAAACAACACTTTCTTAACTACTTGGTGTTTTGGGTTCTAGAAATACATGATAGGACCTATAAAGTAAGGAAAATAATTTTCTTGAATGGAGCTTGTAGGAATCGATTTTATTCCCTTAGACTATGTGTGTATATTGTCACAGAATTTCACATCCCTGCTGCAATACTATTATGACTGCCATAGTAATAATAATTTATTTATCACCTATTTGTCTGTGGTTTGGTTCCAAAATAAATGGCAGAACTAACTAGAAAAACAGCAACTCAAAATAGACTCACTCATTTAAATTGAAGGGACTTAAATATGCAATACTTAAGGAAAAACTAGAAAGTTTAACAATAAAAATGCACATTTACAGGCTGTTTTTGTTGTCTACTTATCCTATATGTGTGCCTTCCCCAGCTTCCTCAAGAAAATCCAGTCACACCAACTACTTTGTTATGTTTGTATTTTTGACTAAATATTTATGGAGTGATGGGGAGAGGCTACAAAACTCAGCATCTCATCAAAATATCTGCCTACAGCTTAGACAATATTGCTTATATAGTGTTATCCGCTTATATTGTATATCCTTAGGATAAATAAAAGTGCTCAAAAGACAATCCTAGTTTTTATTAGTGTTTTGTATCTTTATGGCCATCAGTTTTTATTCTAAAATTATGTTAGCAGAAACACATCTCTTCTGCAGTCTCCCTTGCTGGGCCTTAGAGTCTTTGCCTTCAGATTGTTTGACCCTCCTCTTTGGTCAGTTCCCCTCACAGAGTCTCAGCTGCTACCCTCATCCCACCCAAGTCTTCACGTCTTCTTAAGGCAGGAAAATTAGCTTTGTCCCAGGTCCTTCAAACTTGCCTGCCCGTGCTCATCCTAATGAGCTCAGCAATCAAAAAAGGCCCTTTTTGGTAGAATGATTTATTTTCTTTTGGGTGTATACCCAGTAATGGGATTGCTGGGTCAAACGGTAGCTCTGTTTTAAGTTCTTGAGAAATCTCCAGATTGCTTTCCACAATGGCTGGACTAATTTATATTCCCACCAACAGTGTATAAGCATTCCCTTTTCCCTGCAGCCTCACTAGATGCAATGTTTGTTGGCTTTTTAATAATAGCCATTCTGAATGGTATGAGATGGTATCTCATTGTGGTTTTGGTTTGTATTTCTCCGATGATTAGTGATGGTGAGTAGTTTTTCATATGTTTCTTAGCAGTTGTATGCCTTCTTCTAAGAAGTGACATATGCACTTATATGTTCATTGCTGTGCTAGTCACAATAGCAAAGATATGGAATCAACCCATGTGCTCAGTGGTAGATTAAAAAAATGTAGTACATATACACTATGGAACACTACACAGTCATAAAAAATGAAATCATGTTTTTTTGCAGCAAGATGGATGGAGCTGCAGGTCATAATCCTAAGTGAACTAATGCAGGGACAGAAAACCAAGTACCTCATGTTCTCACTTATAAGTGGGAGCTAAACATTAATTACACATAGACATAAACATGGGAACAGTAGACACTGTGGTGTACGAGAGAGTGGAGAGGTGGGTGAGTTAAAAAGTCTCCCTATCAAATATAATGCTCACTAGCTGAGTGATGGGATTTGTACTCTAAACCTCAGCATCTTTTAGTATTCTCATGTAACAAACCTGCATATGTGCTCTTCTATCTAAAATAAAAGTTGAAGTAAAAATAAATAAATACATAAATATTTTTTAAAAGGGGCCCTTCGTTTGCCAAAACATATCCCCTTCTAGGGGGGATCAGAGATGATACAGAACTTTTTTTTTCTGGTTACATAGACTAATATGCACATTTATGATTTTAAAGTTTCAATCATTGTCAAAATATATCATTTTGAGACAGCAATGAAATAGAAAAGTCAGGTCATGTTGGTTGGATGAGTCTCATCCATACAGTTACATATTCAGTCGATTCTTTTTTGGATTTAATACAAACCACTGTCAAATAATTAATATGCCCTTATGCGTATAGGGCCTTTCTGATTCCTCTTTCTTCTGAACCATCATAATCCCTGACCTGCAGCTGTGGCACTTTGCCTTTCTTGCCTTGCTTCAGGGGTGTTTATGTGCATGCCTTAGTTTCTTAGTAGATCCCTGTCTAATTGATCTCAGTGTTACCTGTAACATCTGATAAAGTACCTGGCAGGTAGTAAGAGCCCTTTGATTCCTTGATGAATGGTGAATAAGTGAATGAATTAAAACATTGGCCAAAGCTTACTCATGTCTAAGCCTCTGGGGTTAAAAAGAGCATATGTGTTATTGGCAACAAACACAGAAGGAATGACTGGCTTTAGATTTCCAGACAGGTTGGAGCCAAGTTCTTCTTGCTGAACATCCTTTAAATAATTTAAAATTTGCAAAGCCTTCAGAAGAATACAGTACAGTAGGATTAGCATGTGTGTACAGTTCATGTTCAAAATTAAAGATCATTCCAGGAAAAGAAAGATTCTAATTTTAAAAAGATAGTATCAGTATTATGACAGAATTGTTATGAAATAGTTTCCTCTGTGACTGAAAAAAATAGCAAATAATTTACATTCTTCATTTTGACTCTGTTGATCCTCTGTAAAATTATTGTACTTAACAATAATGAACACCTAGCATATCAAGATTTATTATGTAATAATTTTTATAGATGTCCATTGTATAACAGTCTGCATTTACTGAAATCATTATAAAGAAGTGAGCTACTTGCTTTTATTTTTGCAGTTAAAAAAGAGGAGAAATGAATCTGATTAGACCCACAGAAATTAGTTGTTTCTTTCTTCACAAACTAGGACTTGCTGTTTCCATCACGAGTCTTTACACTCAATAAGCATTTATTATCATTTGTCCTGTGCATAGAAATACTGTGTTCCTATGAAAGTTTTTTTTTTTTTTTTGAGTTGGAGTTTCACTCTTGTTGCCCAGGCTGGAGTGCAATGGCACGATATCGGCTCACCGCAACCTCCGCCTCCTGGGTTCGAGTGATTCTCCTGCCTCAGCCTCCCAAGTAGCTGAGATTACTGGCATGCGCCACCACACCCAGCTAATTTTGTATTTTTAGTAGAGACAGGGTTTCGCCATGTTAGTCAGGCTGGTCTTGAACTCCCGAACTCAGGTGATCCGCCCACCTCGGCCTCCCAAAGTGCTGGGACTACAGGCATGAGCCACCACGCTCCACCGAAAGTTTTTTCTTAATGGATATACTATCTCCTTCGGAACTGAATTTGAGAATAAGAATTGAGGATTGTATTTATATTCAGTTTTGATTTTTATTAAATTCAATCTGAAAATTTTTATTACATGAAATTATAAAGCGTAGAAAATATAGATAAGCACACAGAAGAAAATAAAAATACCCTGTAATTACACTACCCAGAGATAACTATTATGAAGATTTTGGTAAATATCCATCCAGATCTTTCTCTGAAATTTTTTAAAAATGTTATTATACTTCACAAAAAATGAGAGTATACCACATGTCTGTTTACTGATTTTTTTTACTTCATATTATACCTTTAATACATCATTCTTAATTTTATGTTGTATTCCATCATATAGTTATAACTGTATATTAAACCTTAACCAGTTCCTCAATTTTGGACCTTCAGTTCATATATTTTTTGCCATTATAAATATCTAACATCCTCATTTTGACCAAGAGGAGAAGTAAAAGCTAGCATAAAAATTGTCAAAATCTTGCTCTCAATAAATGCATTGTAGGAAAATGTATTTTTAGAAATACATTATAAATAATCGCAAAAACCATGTGAGATTTATATATTCATATAAACTCTGTAAGGTTAGAGACCAGGCCTTATTCATTTTTTGCATTCACAGCAGGCGCTCAATAGATTATTTGTGAATTAATGCATATTTTATCTGTATTTCCATTTGTATGGAGAGTGCCATTTATTAGGAAGGCATTTCTTTTTGGCATCATGGAATGGACACTGGCTCTTCTAAGGATCACAGAATTTAATAGAACCATCTGGTCCTGAAAGAGTTAGTGAAAACTGTCTTTTTTTTTTTTTTTTTTTTTTTTTTTGACAGAGTCTCTCTTTGTCACCCAGGCTTGAGCACAGTGTATCGATCTCTGCTTACTGCAGCCTCTACCTCCTGGGTTCAAGCGATTCTCCTGCGTCAGCCTCCCTAGTAGCTGGGACTACAGGCGCATGCTACCACGCCCGACTAATTTTTGTATTTTTAGCAGAGACGGGGTTTCACCATGTTGGCCAGACTGGTCTCGAACTCCTGACCTCAGGTGATCCGCCTGCCCTCACCTCCCAAAGTGCTGAGATTACAGGCGTGAGCCATCGTGCTTGGCCAATAAAAACTGTTTGTTTGTTTGTTTTTTAAATAATGAGTACTACATGTGAATAACAGTACAAACATAGCAAAAGTATGAAGTAGATTAAGTTCAACTGTATGCACGCCTTCCAGGCATCAGATGCTTTCATGCTGCCTTCTTACCACCTTACAAGGTTTTTCTGCTAAGAAGCGGGGACCTGCTAAAGCACAGGGGGGAAAATCAGACCTTAAAGTTCAGTAGACTTGATTTTAAACTCCAGCACCAATACTTATTAGTCATATAAAAATTGTCAACTTACTTAAACTCCCCAAGCTTCAGTTTCTTCACCTATAGAATGGAAAAGTTAAAAATGGTCACCCTATAGGGTTGTGGTGAGGTTTAAATGACCTAAAATTTGCAAAGCAGTACAGTCCCTTGAATGTAACGTGCTACTGACTCATAACTAGTATCATTGTCATGTGTATATATGGACAGCCAAGATATCACAGTGAGTATGGTATACTATTCAAGTTTTTCATGATTAAGGTGTTCTTAAATAATTGTTGAATAGAATTATGGATGCACTTCAAATCTCATTTGCTAGCATTGTAATATATTTAATACAAACTTAAAAAAACAAAAACAATAAAAGATAAAATAGTTGTCAGGACAGAGTAGCATAAAGGGAGTGTCTTTGTAGCATAATATTTTGACCTATGAGAAATTTTGTACAATTTCCTGAAAAAACGTCATAATGAATTATACATTAGTAGACTTACCTTCTTGAAGGTCAGTGGGTTGTTACTAGCATTTGTTAAGGTCACATGTATGTAAACACTGTACTGCACCTATGTTTTAAAAAGTGAAATGAATATTATTTACTTCTTGGAAGATTATATACTACAAATTGAACTGTTGATGAAGTCACTCTGGGTCCCTAAAGACTGAGTGAAAGAGGTAGAATTAGAAAGACTTCTTTTGGCTATTAATCTAAAGTGAATATGTAATCATTCAGAAGTACAAAACAGGGATAGATCTTTTCCAATTACATTCAGCATTTGTGTCAATGTTTACATTAGTTGTTTTAGGATCTGCTACTGCCTGAGGAGAAGTCACAACCTCATTGGTTACCTTCTGGGTCTGTAAGTCATTCAGCTTTTCTCTCAGCAGTCATTGTCTTACTACTTTTAAAAATGAGGCTCATAAACTTCAAATAAGGAAGTGGTGGACTTATTAGCATGTATTTACGAAGCACTTTTGGCATGAGCTGTGTTATACTGTACAGAACTTCAAATTAGTGGGAAATAACTGAGTGAGACCTAGTGTAGTCTCAGGTAATTATGACATTTTCTCTGCCACTCCCTAAGAATCACCTCCCTGCCATTTCGTATCAATCCATATTTTACTCAGAATACCTGAAGCTAAGACTGCGCCTTTTCCCTCAGGGCAGATTGTGCTTCTTCCAAGGCAGGCTAGAGAGGAACAGAAGTGGAAAGAATCTCCTATCTCCCCTTGGTCATCTGCATCAACTTTCTTGATTAACAAAGATTTGTCACAGCCAAGGAATGCATTTGCATTTCTCTGTCTCTTTTCTTTTTTTCTTCATCATTCAGTGCTTTGCTTATTAATATTTTAGCACCGGTTCCACAGATCACATCCATTCCTACGTACTAGGTGTTCACTCTTCATTTAAGTAATGAGAGGATGAATGATAAAGCACAGGACTTTGTGTCAGCTAAAAGTTTAAGAAGCTTATACCATTTTTAGTAGGAAATGTGTATAAATTTGAAAAGAATTTGGCCTAAATGGCAGAATTTTTCATAAGTTTTTTATACATTCCTCTATCAATGGAGTGCAGAATTTAGAATCTAAAACCACTCGTTACATCTGAGAGCTTACTAAATCTAAGTGTTTGAAAGCTATCACAGGAATGAGCATCCTAAAGGCTGAGACACTATCTTCTTCTTCTGTATGTCTAGAGTGCCTAGAACCAAGCAGATGAGAGTGGAATGCCAAAAATAAGTTTTTAAAGCAAGAACATGTATAGCTCCCTGATAAAGGAGACTACATTCTCATTCTTTATAGTGAGGATTCTTTGCTCACTGCTCATGTATGGTGCAGTGCCATTTACTTGTACTCTACGTGACTTGACGTGGGCCCCAGACTCACAGCCAGAAGCCTGCACTAACCAGTAACTAGGTTCTCCTTCTTAGCCAGTGTGCCCTGAAGAATCAGTAACTATGACCCAGATCACATGTAGACATGGAAAGGAATCAGTATGTGAGATATAGGCCTGAGGGAGAGAATGAAGCTTCAACAGTTTCGAACTCCTCATGATCAGGAAAATTATATTTTTGTTACTATTTTACTTTATAGTAGCTTGTATTTGATGTCTGAGTACATATTGATCTGGAAAAATGTTATTGATTTTCAATCCAGAAAATGTACTTTACAGAGTAGGTATGCTTCTAATAAGATAATTGGGCTGGCCGGGTGCGGTGACTCATGCCTGTAATCCCAGCACTTGGGGAGGCTGAGGTGAGAGGATCACGAGGTCAGGAGATCGAGACCATCCTGGCTAACACGGTGACCATCCCGGCTAACACAGTGAAACCTCATCTCTACTAAAAATACAAAAAAAAAACAGCCGGGCATGGTGGTGGACACCTGTAATCCCAGCTGCTCGGGAGGCTGAGGCAGGAGAATGGTGTGAACCCAGGAGGCGGAGTTTGCAGTAAGGCGAGATTGTGGCACTGCACTCCAACCTGGATGACAGAGCGAGACTGTCTCAAAAAAAAAAAAAAAAAAAAAACACAAAACAAAAAACAAAGATAATTGGGCTGATTTCAATAGGAAATATATGCAAAACCTGGGAAATTTAGTGTCTATTAATCACTTCTTCTATGGTCATTCCATGGTTTGAACACCAAATAGTGTGTATGGAATTAACTAAATTGTTATTTAAAAGATTCAGCTCTATCTTATAGAAAGGAAACCCTTTGGCAAGATCATAAACTACATATAGAAATATAGGCTTTTCTGTTAATAACATTCTAAAGTATGTATGTTTTTTTCACCATAAGAGCCTGTGTCTCCACATCTAAAATAAAAGATTTACCTGAAGCTTGATAGCATACAACTATATTGTTGATTAACAATAAACACAGGTATTTAAAAAGTAAATTTCTAATTAAAATATAAACTCAAGCTATTAAACAAATAACTAACAAACTCTTACAGATTTACAAGGAGGAGAACAAAGAAGTGAAAACTTATGGGCAAGAAAATATAACTTTCTTTTTGGAGCTCTACTTTATATTAATGTTGATTCATAAATTTTGACACGTCTACTGATTGCTACTACTAAGGCGAGACAAACATAGACATCCAACCAAAGTCGTTTCTGCTGCTTAGGCAGTAGTCCTTTGGATGTTTTGCAATGAATCCTTTATTTTTTTCTTAAGAGATTGTTATGCTTTGTATGTATGCATAAAATTAATGCATTTCTTTTTTTTTTTTTTTTTTTTTTTGAGACGGAGTCTTGCTCTGTTGCCCCGGCTGGAGTGCAGTGGCGCAATCTGGGCTCACTGCAAGCTCCGCATCCCGGGTTCACGCCATTCTCCTGCCTCAGCCTCCCGAGTAGCTGGGATTACAGGCGCCCGCCACCACGCCTGGCTAATTTTTTGTATTTTTAGTAGAGACAGGGTTTCACCGTGTTAGCCAAAATTAATGCATTTCCAAACAGTTTCATCTTGAAGTGTATAGTTCACTTTAAATCATTCCCATTCTGTAAAAAGTGGAATTGATTTTTGGAGGACGAAGTCTACAAATGATATTGTCCAGAGTCACTTCCAACTTTTCTAAAAGTGAACTTGGGATTCATTAGAAGCAAGAACGAGCTTGTTGCTCCAATGATAGAAACGTGAATAGCTCACTTGAGACAATTTGAAGGTCTTCTGCCATCTGGTGGACATCAGTAGAAGTCTCACTCAGTAGAGTAACATCATGTAGTATACACCTAAATTAAAATATATTTTCTTATTCTGAATTCATGTTTTTTGACAATGAAATAATTTTTCTTTTATTTCTAAAGGAACACCCCAACCTAAGCCCTCCCTAAACAAAAAATAACATCAAAGGTTTGAAGTGAAAAATAATTTCTAACTGATATAAAGCTATACATGTATTTATTTGTAAAAGGTATATATATATATTCATATTTCCTAAATAATTTCTGTACCACTGCTAGCATACTGTACATATGCTATGCCATTGCTATCATATTGTACATATGCTAAAATTGTGACTACTAAGTATTATATGTAAAATTTGTTTCCATTTGTAAGACCAATTGTTAGTTGTGGGTGCCCTCCGGTGTTCATGAGGTGAACTGCAAACTAGCAGAGACAAGTCATTTTGGTCACAATCGGCGGCAGTTGTTAACATATTTTTGAGTCCTTGTAATTGTTGTATCAGTGATGACTGATTTACCTAAGTCTACTGCATGCTCTCATTGAGTGGCTTTGTAACTTCAGGTGTCACCTGAAAACAAGTAAGTATATTAATTAATATTCAGCCTGAGAGATCTTTCTCTCCCTCTGCTTTGCAAATCTGGCCCATGAAGAGATATTTATTACTCTGCTTCGTTAGTAAAATATCATAAAATGTTATAGTTTTTCTTTTCCAAATTAGTCCAAACTATCACATTATAAGTGCATTTTGGAAAGTACCAGGGCACTCTCTGATGGGACTAAATTTGGGGCATGATTCCCAGCATGGGCCTGAATTCATTTTAAGAAGTCTCTGAATGATTTTTCATAATACTACTTTTTCAGATGAGACAAACAAGTCTCTTAATTCCCTAAAATTATTTTCTTAATTTACTTATGATAACAAAATGGGATTTTTGTCAGCACGTCTGAAAAATACTGAAATGGCAATTTTAGGTTTTCTTTGGTTTTCTCTGGTTGGGAATTTTAAATTAGTTCAAGGATTGTCTAATAACAAAATGTTCCGATAATAGTATGTCTTTCATAATTGAAATTATCCTCATCCTGAACTGAATATATTTTCAGGTACCAAACAAGAGAAATTAAGTCATCATGAGCTTGCAGATATTCTTTGTTCATTTATTTCTAAAAATGAATCTGTATGCCAGGTATATTCAAAACAATGTTCTAGGCAATATAGAACTACAGAGCTATGGTTCTTATGTTTATAATCCACTAGAGGAGTCAAGATTCATTCAGGAAAAATACAATACGAAAGTATGCAAATAATGCAGTAATAATGATAAAATAGGCAATTGACAATGACAGAGATCACTTCAGTAGAGATTAATGTGAGTAATGAAGGAGGTAGCATTTGACCAAGACCTTTCCAGAATGGAAAGCTGGGATTTGAACAGATAGAGTTAAGAGGGGTGGAAAGAGTATTTTAGATATAGGAAATGGAATAAGCAAAAGCTCCACAGTGGGAAAGTGTAACTTTTTACTTTACATTGAAATAAAACACAATAAAATTTTTATAGAATATGTTTTATTTATTCAAGTCCTCAAGGCTAAGTTCTATCAACAACTGTACTTTTTTCTCTCTGAAGTTTGTAGTTCAGAACCAGAAAATGTTCAGGCTGACCCAGAGAATTATACCAGCCTTCTTGTTACATGGGAAAGACCTCGAGTCGTTTATGATACCATGATTGAGAAGTTTGCAGTTTTGTACCAGCAGTTGGATGGAGAGGACCAAACCAAGCATGAATTTTTGACAGATGGCTATCAAGACTTGGTAACTATATGATCAGTTGTTTTACATAGGGTAACATTATAATTTAATTTCCAAGGTAAGAACTTACAAATGGTTGTATATTATTTTCCTCCATTACTTTTAGACTTTATGTGAAGGTGGGGTAGGCTGAGTATTTTTAAATTTAAAAAAAAATTTTAAATTAGAAGCTATACTAAATTATGTTTAAAGTTACATTTAATTAAATGGATATCATAACTTTGCCAACAATAACACTATAGAGTAGATACATATGACTTATGAACTGGAGATCATTTAGTGTGGCCTTTCTTAAGATTTCAGTTGTAGAATAGTGCCAGAATCTCAGTGCCCTGATACATTTTATATTGTGTCTTCCATTACGCTATATCAGCACAGGAAAAGTAGAGTAGGGGACATACAAGTCCTCTTTGTTGCACCAAAAAATTTTCAGATAACAGCTGGGAAGTCATGATTGGGTCAGAACTTTGGGGATGTAAGAAAACATTTCTTACAAAAAGATCCACCCCTGCCTCCCTCCACCAGCGCATGCGAATAAAGTACAGATTCCCTTTGTGGCCTGAGCATGTCAGTATTAAACTTTGCTCTGGTAGGGAAGTGTTGGCCATAGATTAGGGTGTAGTTGACAAACCTTCATCTGGATGTAGGTCCAGAAAGTCCCCACTGCAGGTTAAAGGACACTGGACTCTGCACTCAGGCACCTAGAGTCCTGCAAGTCCTGGGAACCTGCATTTAAATAAAAATGCACTATTAATTATGTTTCATATCATGTGGACAAAATGGATAAAATTTTAGTAACCTTTTAATTCAGTTGCCTGGAATATGGAGACACAATGACCTGGGAAAATCGTGAAATAAATAGTAATAAAAATGTTTATTTCATAATTACGTGAAGAAGATAATTCTATTACTGTTCTTGCATATATATTGTCAAGAAAAAGAGATAACTTAGTTGTTCACTTTTTCACATTGCTCCTTGTTTGCAAATGCCCCCCATTTATTTGTCTAAAATATTAATTTTTAGTTTGTAGTACTAATTTATGAATTTGATGAGTTCTGGCTAAAAATGAAACTTCCTGAAACTAAATCTGATTTTTAAAAAGCAAAAAAAAAAAAAAAGCCTAGCTTTCCAGTTCTTCATAATTCACAAATACCACAAGTTTAACTAAGCAACATTGCATAAACTTTTCCTTAGGTTAATAAAATAGAAGTATTTTCCACGGACCAGGGAGAAAAAGTTTTCTAGGAAAGATACCTAGTGTGTTGGTAGTCCTATGAGAATAACATTTGTATAATTACTAACATCTTTCTTTTAGGGTGCTATTCTCAATAATTTGCTACCCAATATGAGTTATGTTCTTCAGATAGTAGCCATATGCACTAATGGCTTATATGGAAAATACAGCGACCAACTGATTGTCGACATGCCTACTGATAATCCTGGTAAGTGCCACCAGATACATCTATATATTAACTCAATAAATGAGGTTAGTTTAATTACTGTATGCATTGATGCTTTCTCTCTATATTCTTTTGGCCAAAAGGCAAAGTGATTTTCTCTTAAGTCTGGATTGCCGGGTAATTTTTTGGGGCATGGGACCCATTTCTCATTCAGCAGGTCTGGTGCCAGACAATAAGTAAACTTATCCTTAATATTGGAGTTTACCATTTGTAAAATAAGAGTGACTAAACATATTTATAACATTGTAATAATCATTAAATGAAAATTGCTATGTAAATGTTGAGACTGTTATTTTGGATAATTAAGAGTTGGTTTAATTTGTATTTATTTCCTCTTTTCAGCCCCCAAAGCATTATGTAGTAAGTGTATACATGATCCTAAGACCATGTGAGGTACTTTCAAATATCTATACAAAGCATCTCAAGAGTTTGTCTTAGATCTATTTTTCTACTTTTTATAATTTGGTTATGGGGAGTGGGGTGTTTTCCTCTTGGTTGATTGCCCTTACTCTTCCCAAAAATAAGACAAACAAAAGTTGTTTCTACTTGTGTTTTATTTGCATGTACCTTCTCTAAATGTATGGGAAAATCTTTTGATCTTAGAGCATATGCAATAACTGAATCAAATGCTGACCATCATAATTTGACAATTTACAAGTTTACATAATTAAGTTAGTTTTCCTCTTGTTAGTGTAAGCAGTTTTAAATAATAGAATAGACGTGCATATATGTATATATACATATGTATAATCACATACATCTGCATAAATACATACGTAAATATATATATTCTTTGGTCATCCATATTAGGAGCCTACTCATTGAAACTTTTACAAATTTTAATGTAAGTGAGTGGTTACAAATTATATTAATTATAGCCTATTTTAGTTTTACCTATGGCAGGAAAACTGATGTGCACGGTTTGCATTGTTGTCTAAATGCTGTAGCAGGGACTTTAATCCAACATGAGCTTAAATAAAGTACTTGCTCATTGATCACCTTACCATAGCTGTTCTTACTAGTTGACTTTTTAAGTTAAAGATTATATGTGAGAGCATCAGATATTATAGTATGCATCATTCCAAACTACAGGCTACAAAACTTGCCAAGGTATCTCCCAACTTGATATTAACGACTAATGAATATTACTACTACCATGATGGCAATATCATTATTTAGTATTTCTTATGACCTGCCTCATGGCCTGGGTATAATCATCTTTCTTATTGCCTTTATTTAGCATTGTTTTTCAAAATCAGGTTATTTTTTAATGGAATGTGAGCTCTAAGTCTTATAGAAAGGCGAGTATCAAAGTAACTGACCATGATTTTAACTATGCCATATCACGCTACACCATTGCATGGCAACCATCACCAAAGTTCCTCACAATGAGCTACCCAGAAAATGACACCTTTAGCCATACAACATTGATCATGTTGGCCAACACCATATGTGAATTGATTGAAATATGGCATATAAAAAAATCTCTTCTACCTTTATTTATGCATTTTGAGTATGAAGTATATTGAACACATTCACTTAATTTTGTTACCTTGGTTTAATTATGCTACTCTAATTTCGTACCTAAAACAATTTCTCAGGAGTTTGCAAAAAATTATTACTTTTACCCATTTATTTTTACACTGTTTCCTATTTTATTCGCTATGCCAAAGCTTTAAACTTTCTGAATTTTTTTGTTCTTTTTTATTTTGGAGAAACTTATTGCATATGAAAGAAACAGATTAAATATGTATTTTCTCCATAAGTGATTTCTGAGTGATCCTGTTAGACTGACTCTATATTGGCACAAAGTATAATATTCTTCTATCATTTGTTGTATTTTCACATTTGTACTAAATAATAAATATTATTAAAACTTAAAATTTCTATTTATTTAAAGGACCGGGACACTATTGAACGTTGTAATAATGAGATGCTTGTTTGGATACACCATTAAATCTCCATGGATGCCTCAGTCTCTTAAGGCATTTTGTATAGTAATGATGTGTTAGTAAAAGATGGTATTTGATTTGATGTTTTGATATGCTATGCCTCTTAAAAACTAAGGGTTACAAACTTAGGTAGATTATTCCCTATTATTTCTACCAAAAATTCCTGCATCAAAAACCTGTTCCTCCAAAGTTTGGGATTATCCTATTTTTTATAAAGAAAAGATTGGTTCTCTTAGGAGTTACTCTTTCTGATCTGAAAGGCTGCAATGGCATTTTTATCCACAGATTTACAATTTAGTATTGA
Source organism: Homo sapiens (assembly GCF_000001405.40). Lineage (NCBI taxonomy): Eukaryota > Metazoa > Chordata > Mammalia > Primates > Hominidae > Homo > Homo sapiens. The sequence continues at coordinate 122,000,281 of NC_000007.14, forward strand.
AATTACATTGTCTTAAATATTGTTTCTTTGGTAAATATATCCCAATGAAAGTCTTGACAATAATACTATCTTGTGGCTTGGTAAAACAGATTTGGTGCCTACAAGATTAGTGAATTTTATTATTTGTGTGACTAATATAGATGTAAGTGGCTTTTGAGTTTGCTGCTTATTTCATGGTTTTTATTAATACCACTTCATTCTGTTAATCATGTTATTTTATTAGCTTGGTAACTGTAATGTAGCCTATTTAATAATTCTATTATTATTTAGGATAAACTGTTTACTAAATATTGTATTGCTTTTTGCTTTTGTTAAAAAGAAATGAAAAAGATAATTTATAATTGCTGTCATTCTTTGATAGATTTCATATATATATATATATATATATATATATATATATATATATATATATATATATATATTTGAGGTGGAGTCTTGCTCTGTCACCCAGGCTGGAATGCAGTGGTGCAATCTTGGCCTGCTGCACCCTCCACCTCCTGGGTTCAAGCGATTCTCCTGCCTCAGCCTCCTGAGTAGCTGAGATTACAGGCATGCGCCACCACACCCAGCTAATTTTGTATTTTTAGTAGAGACGGGGTTTCACCATGTGGGCCAGGCTGGTCTCGAACTCCTGACCTCGTGATCCACCCACCTCAGCCTCCCAAAGTGCTGGGATCACAGGCGTGAGCCACCGCACCTGGCCAGATTTCAAATATTTAAATCAGTTTCCCTGAAGAAAAACTCAGTCTTCCAAATAGTGCCTTTAACTTCCTAAATGTGATAAAACTATGCATTTAAATTAATAATTTGCTTACATTATTCTTTGTACCTTTTAATTACACTTGTGTACAAAAGTATCACCATAAACTATGCTCATTAAGTATTATTTCAAATTGTCGTTTAAAAAAATGTGTAAGTTTGCGTTCAGAAATTAATTTAAATTTATCAAGGAGCCTTTTTAATGTTAAAAAGGAATGTATATTCTTTTAAAAGACTTCTTAGTTACATTTATGAATAAATAATTTCATAAATATATTTATCTTATTGTTACTAAGATAATTATGTTTATTTCTCATATAAAGATAAAGCTAATTAACATACAGCTCTGGAGGGATTATTTAAGTACATGTTTTAGGGCCTTGATAATTATATGTGTTAGATTTAAATGCATGATGAATTAAATCCACAGTTTTCTTGTTACTGTGTGCTTTCAGTTGTATAACAATTGTCTTAAGTCACCATACATCTGTCCTCACTCTACCTGTACCATCCTTCCTATTAGTGTTATTACATTATTATATGCAGAATTATAGTTTGAAGCAGTTGCGGTCTACATTGCTTTTATTTCGTGCACTGTGAAACTTGGCTTATCTTCAAACAATTAAATAAGCCTTGCTTGCTCACCTACATCAGTGTTGCTTTTTTGTGTTATAGAAAATTAATGTGTTCCTAATGTGTTTTTTTTAATTTAACATTACATGTGTCCCAAAACAAAACCAGAATGAGTCAACAGTTTTTGTTCAGTTATTACAAAAATGTGAATTCTAAGTGTTCACTCAAAACAAAAAATACTGATAGTTCTTCACTATCTGACTTTTTTCTAGCCTTTATGGAGTCTATTTTGATGAAGGGAGATGATTCTATAAGCCAGTATAATTTTTGAACTATTTAATATATTGGTAGTGCCTGACTCAAACCAGTGGTTACTAAAATATCAGTTATTACTTGTGAGAAAGCAGCAGGTTTAGGGGTACCCAATATGAGAGCTTGTGCCCATCAGCAGAGCTAAACTTTGAGTTCAGGATGTTGAATTCACAGTTCCAGAATTATGGCTTCAAAATCTTTAGGAAGATAGAAACAATCTTCCAAATTATTTTATTTCAAAATTGTTATGAAGAGACTCAGCAAAAGACTTCTGGATTCTAAGAAATAGAGGTATTGAAGTATTCCTGGGAATTTCAGTCAGTTCAAATGATCTCAGTCCAGTTGGAAACCAGAATAAAGAGCCTTCAAGGTGGTTTTATATGCAGTAATATGAATGTGCTAACACTTGGGGGTGCTCACCCATGAGAGTGCCAAGGAGACGTGCCTAGGCCTACACATGTTTTCCCAGAGCCAAGGAGGCCCAAAGAAAAAGTCTTGCTTTTATTACAGTAAACAGCAATCCAATTATAAGTCATTAATATTCTTTAGGGGATGTGATTGGATTAAAACCCTGTATTGTAATTTACTAGAATAGAAACCATAATCCCTATAGTTAGTTGATGCTCTGGTAAAATGATAAAAATAAGTCTAATGCAATACACACTAAAAATATTAAAGAAAAAGGGAAATAAATCCTCAATGTGATAGTTATACATACCCTTCCCCAACCCTTATTACGATTAAATAAGAAAATTATATTTGCCCATTAAAAGTATGAAGTTAGGTGGAGTTAGACCATTTTTTAAAAATTTTGAACACCTTCTTAGGCATGTTGAAACAAATGGAAAATACTTGATATTTTTGTATAGCCTCTTGGCAGAGGAAAAGCCTACAGTATGTGTACCACTAATAAGTATTTGATTATGATTTGCCATTATGAGCATTAAATATTTCAACAGTCTATGAAAAAGAGTGGCTACACTTCAAATTATTTTCAATAAAACTAGGTATTGTCTAATGGGCTTAATTTGAAGATTTTTTATATGCATGAACTTCTTTAGTCATAGCTTTTAGAAAATCATAAGGAAGGTCATTTGTCTGTCACAGTTTAGTTGCATCTCATTTTTAAATTCAAATGTATTAATTTGCATGGCGATTACAAAGACACAAGTGTTTGAGATGATTGAAATCACTTTAGTTTGGAAACGTAAAGAATAAAGAGCATGAAGAACAGACAGTGAGGAAAGGATTTCATAGGAAGAGAAATAGAACTGGGAGACCACTAATGATCAAAATAAAATTTCCAAAGTCCTTCATGGTTAGTTTTAACGAGAAAAAAAGTGAGAATTAAAAGTAAGATTGTGATTGTTTCTAGTGAGTACTTTCCTTTTTAAATTACAGGAGTTGTTTAGGGTAAGTAATTTTGAAACAGCTAAGTTGTCAAGAGTATGAACTTTATCTGAATCTTCTTGGAAGCTAGGCATGCTTAATAGATTTTACATAAATTCTCATTTTATGGTTTTCAATATATTAATACCCAGCAGTCTTGGTAAAAAATAAACGCAAGAAACTTTGTATTGGAAAACAGACCTGGGTATGATCAACATTTAATGTTGGTTCAGTTATACCTTGAAATTTCTATAGAGTATGCATTTCCTTTGAGGACATAAAACATAGAACATAAGCAGCATTAGGATAGTGCAGAGCATAAATTTTGGCGATAGCCTGAGATTCCATAAAGGCATGGGAGTTTGAAGAACATCATTATAATAATGCTCAAACCTCACAGTTACTTTGTCTACCATTTTCCTAATGACCCAGGCAGCTCAGACCAAGACTAAAGAAAAATTCTCTGGCCGCTCAGTAACGTGGTAGAGTGGCTAGATTCCTTCTTAGGAGAGAAAGAACCAGCTTAGTCTTTCCTGACATTCCCTGACAGGTCCTGTTTTAGAACTGAGATATATGTTGATTCTGATTTGTTGGGACAAACAGACGTGAATGATTGTGGTCATCAGATTCTTTAAGTAGACAGCATTAGCTGAGTTTCCCTGGGGAGAATGCACAAGATTCACTCTGTTAGTTCTTCTTGCTGACAGCAAGGCTGGAACCTGCTGGAAAACACTCTTCATTTTACCTGGTGCAGCACCCAGTATAGAAATAGGTATGAGGCCAGATTTGAGGAGTAAAGATAATTATTTGTCCCTCAGTCAAAATAGAAACTTAAGGAAGAGGTTGCTAAATAAGAAAATAAATTCTACCAATTCTCCAGAAAATCCCTGGCATTTCCCCAACCATGCTTTTATCAGCCCTGCTAAGGATGAAATAACTCTGTACTGATGAAAAATTATTTGCGTTTCTTTACACTCAGTTTTATCAGTTTCACTGACCTCCTCTCCGTTCTTAGCTTCAATCAGACTTAGGGGCAGGGGAAATGGGGAAGGGAGTGGAGTGGGAGGTAGAGATCAAGATTTGGGTAGAGTTACATATAAGCTCATGTAGTGTTGTGTTGTAGTGTTCAGTAATGTTGAAAACTAAAATTTGGAATTTTTATTGTGAGAAAGTCTGTATTTTCAAAGCTGACATTAACTTTTTTATTCTTTTTAATTTTTTCTCTTTCACCCAAAGGTAAATCCACAAAGGCCGAAATAGTTGAATAAAAACTTTAATAATTTTGTTTTTAATTTTGTAGAACTTGATCTTTTCCCTGAATTAATTGGAACTGAAGAAATAATCAAGGTATCATAGCCATTTTTATATTCAAATGTTTTAATATTAAATGGTCTATTTTGAATTGTTGCTTGGGTGTTAGGTATTGCCACATGAATAGAAGTTGTGTGTATGATTCACTGTTTGTGGGGTTAGTTGCTAAGCTTTATATATAGATAGTCACATAATTTATATACATGATTCTCTTATGAAGAAGTTGAAAGATGTTTTGATTGGTATAGTACTAAAAAACAAGAAATATAAATGGTGATGAAGAAAAAAACAATGAACTTTAAAAATAATTATAGCTATGCACTACAGCTATAAACTGGAATTTTTTTAGTCTCCAAATTTTTCTGAAAAACTAAAATTATATTTAACCAGTTCTTAACATTCTACAGTTTATATATAAATAACCAACGATTGATAGATTAACGCTAAATGTGGCCCAAAATATAAATTGTATATATATTTTTTGCCCATTTAAATTGTTTATTATTTAAGTTGATAAATATTAATTTACTCAAAGAACATTGTGCTGACAACAGGCACTTATACTACGAGTAGTCTATACTTTTTAAAGATAAAATGTATAGGTATTTGAGACTATAAATTTTAACATTATTTTATTTTTTTAAATAGAGAGAAAATGATTGTTTAATATCTTTTATATTTCATCATATGCCCTAATGTGCTGTTCATCATAACTGAAATTATATATTCAGTTCAGGTGCTATTGTTGATGATAATACGAATGTGTACATGTGTATAGATTGTGTAGGAGCTGATAAAAGTGTGACAACTAGTGCTGTTATCTAGCAATAAATAACAATTAGGTCTTTCATAGGTATAAACTATCTTGATATTTTATGTATCTTATGGCTAGTCTCTCTTACAAGGGACTATTTTACCAAAATGACCAGTCTACTTTGTAACAGGAGTTTATAGATTTCAGCTAAGAATAACTTTATTTGTATATGTACATACATGCTCACATGCATATGGAGATATATATATATATGTATATATACACACACATACAAGCGATCAACAGAATTAAGTCAAAAAAGAAATTATATTTGTGCTGAGTTGTTAATTCAAATAATGGGTCTGACATACTGATGTAAGCCCTTTTTTCAGTAATTGGTGCCATGTATTAAATGATATTCTGTTTAAGTTCTGTCTTTTATATAAGTATTACACATCACAGACTTTTTAGAAAGGACCAAGGAACAATCAATTATTTTTCATAGTAATTCCCATTACCATGATTCACGATCCATGCTTAGTTACTTTAGTTACAAGATCCATGTTTAGTTATTTTTCTTCTCTATTGCCATTAACCCTAAGGCAACTTTTACCATAAGCCTACAAAAGTTATTTAAAATCTTCCAATGTTAATTACTAGTAAATTTCTACATAAAACTATAATATTGTATTTAGTATAATATTTAGCTGTGTGAATAGGCTACACATGTGACTTTATATGCATTTTAAAATATTTTCCATTTTTTAATGGACATATAATACTTCTACATATTTATGAGGTATATAGTGATCAAATCAGAGTAGTTTGCATATCCATTATCTCAAACATTTACCATTTTTCTGTGTTGGAAACATTTGAGATCCTTTTTTCTACCTATCTGAAAATATATATTATTGCTAACTGTAGTCATCCTATAGTGCTATCAAACACTAGAACTTATTATTCCTATCTAGCTGTAATTTTGTATCATTTAACCAATCTCTGCCTGTCGCCCCCTCGCCACTACATTTCTCAGCCTCTAATAACCACTATTCTACACTCTACTTCTATTAGATCAACTTTTTTAGCTTCCACATAAGAGTGAGAACATGCAGTATTTATCTTTCTGTTCCTGGCTTATTCCACTTACATAATGGAGGTATATCTTTATTTTTGTCATACACTCTACAATAGAGATACCTAAAGCTATTCCTGTCATGGTGCCTCTGGTCTTGCCATGTACATATATGACAAACACAAGCAGATCTTCCTGTTAGAGAAGAATGTGAAGATATGTGAGCAGGCTGGCTTGTTGTAGTCAGAGAAAAGTTCCTAGATAGGAGGAAAAAAAAAGCCTCAGTGCATCAGCCCAGGTCTCAACAGGAAACAGATGCCACACTCAAGTGGAGTCATGGAGGTTAATTTAATCAAAAAGGATGATTCACAGGTGTGGGAAGTCTTAATGCAAACAAACAAGGGGTGGCATTGTACATTTGGTATGAATTATATCAGGGACTCGTTGTTACATCTAAACTGAAAGGCAAGAGGGCAAGGAGAAGGTGCAGAGAGAATGGCACAGCAGATGCTGTGGCCTCTGTAATGAGACAGCACCATCCTGTGGTGACCAGTTAGGTAAGGAACCTCCCAAGGAATAACCACATTATCTGGCCACCCGCCTAGAATGAATGGAGACAGGTGGAGAGAGGCTGTGGAAAGCAAAATGAGAATATACAACACACTGAGGAAGGAGTCACCTGAGAAAGCAGAGTAGAATTAAAAATCAATGTCATTACTTGTTGGTAGAAGGCTATGATCTAGAGGAAAATGAGGAGGAGAAAGAATTCTTATGACATTAGGCTTATTTGGTTTGTGGGGCTTTACCCATGGTGGTAGTACCCAAAGAAACAGCAGCTCTAATTCTTTGAGCTGGAAGAATCCTTGGCACTGCCAAGGGGGAGGGAACCAGCTACCACCACACAGATGGGGATTTAAAATAAAGGATACAGGAGCAGTGATTGGTAAGCTTGGCTTGGTAAATTGGTAGTAGTTCTTGCTATTGAAATTAACTATTGTATTAATAATATATTGTCAAATCGAAAGAGACCCATGTCACAATATGTCTTCCTGGAGCATGATTATGAGATGGGATGAAAACACTTCTTAACCAATCCACTATTCACTTCCTTTGCTTCATGCAGGAATGAATGACAGGCTGGAAAATGCATGGAATATATTCATAATGACTTTTAATCCCTGAATATAGAAATAAAGAGTTTGAAGGATATTTCTTAGATCCTCTCCAAACAGAAATGTATGACTTTGCAAGACAAAGTATCTGTAGCATGATCATGGCTTTACACTAACTTTTAAAAATGAAGTTGTGAAGGATAACATATGACACAGATCAAAACTACAGTGGAAGAGTCACAATAACTCTATAAAGAAATTGTAGGAAAGAGTATTTGTTAAAATATTTGTAGTCAGATATGAATAAAGTAATCATAGGGTATGAATGATATGTTCTTCTTAAAATGTTGACATAGCCAATGTGACCTTACAGCGATCAACAAGATATGGTAGGGTAGGATTAATGAAGGTCTAATCACCCTCACTGGGTTCTGAGAGGTTCTGAACCTCATAAAGTTTATAGAACGCATATGTATCTGATGTGTGCATAGTTTTTTCCCAACTATGTAATAAGAAGAGGTGTGTAGCATTATGTTACAATAAAAATTTTATGAAAATTTACATTGCTTATAGGAGGATATGATAAAGGATGTTTATGTGGAAATATAAGCAAAGAGAAAGAAATGTAATATTATTGTGGAAGTCAATAGACATTGTTAGATCATATAGAGAAAATGGATGACATATCTTTGGGGAACTTTTGCTGTGAAGGAGAGACGAGAAGTAGAATGATAACTAGAAGGTGAATTAGAGGTTTTCCTTTGTGTTTCCTTTAAATAAGAGAGATCAGAGTTGATTTAAGCTGATGAGAATTATCTGTTTGAGAATTTGAGAAAACAAATCAGAAACACAAAATAGACTGAACTACTCAATTATGTTCAATTCCCAGGTTCATGATAGGGACTAGATCTAAAACACAGAAGTGCGAATTAGCTTTAGAAAGGAAGGAAAACAACTCTTTAGTTATAACAGGACAGGAGGGGCAGAGATAACTTGGTTGGTCCCTGTTTTTATGTTAAGAAGAAGTGTGTCTTTGGTGGCTTCTATTTTCCCTGAAAACAGGAAGGCCATCTGCTGAGAATGGGAGGAAAGGATAGGAAAATGAAGGTTTGACAGAGTTTTGGTAGAGAGAAGGAGTGTGGAGTGATACCAGAAAACTAGGCAAATATTTAGGTTTGCAAAAACAAGGAAGAGTTTAGAAACTCCACACTGCCAAGCTTAACATTGATCCCCAGCAAAACTCTGCATCACATTATAAAACAAATATTTATGAGAACTTCTAAGGAAAGAAGAGATAATTGGCACCAACCAATTTTCCCTAAAAGCAAGTCAAGGCAAATTATTCTCATTTCCTTTTGCATTAAGTTTTTAGGTTTGTAGATTATAGGAATATTTTATTTAGGAAATTATTTGGGAAAATCTCTCAGGTGGTCCTTGTGAACAAGGTATCACACAGAATGTAAAACTTCATAAAGAATACTGACTACTTGTAAGGAAATTTTTCAAGGGAATCTGAGAGAGTAGCCATTTTTAGCACTCAATATAATTCAGATCAAGTGCACTAACTTCCTAAAGTTGTCACTTATGCTTCAGAAGATACTCACGACCAGCCAAATAATTAAGCTGTAAATAATGAGGCAGCCATTAAGCTTGGAATCGTGTGTTTCATACAGTGCAGATTTCCGTGTGTATGACACATGCTCATGAGCACACACAGCTTAAGATTCAGATTCTTTCTACTGATACTGGTCAAGTTCTCAATGGCTGTACTCAGTAATTTTTTTCTTTTAAGGAACATGGCCTTAAAATATCTAATAGATGATCAAATAAATGACAATTCTAACAAGCTGTTGGGTACAAAGATACTGACAAAATCATGTCCCACATGAACTAAAAAAAAAAAAAAAACTTGATAACTTTGGCAATTGAGTTTTCTAAGTATATAATTAGATATAATATACCCAGTTTTATGTATATATACGTATATGTATATATATACATATATTGAATCTTCCATGCAATGAAGATTATGCTTAAAGCATAGGTCTTGGTTAACTTCTAGCTAGAAGACTAGACGTCTCCTCCTGGGTCATTGCATGGAAGATTCAGCCTCCTGAATGGTGATTCTAAGGGAAACACAAAATTAAAAAACTAGGAGTAGAATCATATATTGACAAGTTGCCTTTGAAATATCTGCCTAAGTCTTAAGTGGAAAATATTAAAAAACAAAAGGAAAAGAAAACCAAACACCTCTTTTAGTTCTAAATCTTCCCCTTATTATGACCTTAAAATTATGATTTGCTCTAAATAGATATAATTAAATATTCTGAATGTTCAACTACTTTGGTCTTTAAAATAGTTTCATCGCCAATTCTTATTACAATAAGCTAATGGCTATTTACCTTGATGCCTGATGAACAAAGAAATATAAAAACAATAAAATAAATGCCATGTTAAATAACACTGTCAATAAATAACTACAGTGTGTCTTCCTTTTAAATATGTGGTATCTATTCATTTAACCACTTCTTTCCATAGCATTAAAATAAAGGCGGCCATAAATTAGGTGTTTTCATTACGTTTAATTACTCCCCTGTAGAGCGGATGGTAAAGGTTGTAGGTTAGAGGTATGCATTGTACAGAATGGTGTTTTATGAGGATGAGAAGTTCCCAAGATACCACAAGTGATGATTGGCAGTGTAAGATATGAAGATTTTCTTTTTCTCTTATTTCCTTATGACTCATTAAATCTTGTTTGCTTTTCAAAGGAGGAGGAAGAGGGAAAAGACATTGAAGAAGGCGCTATTGTGAATCCTGGTAGAGACAGTGCTACAAACCAAATCAGGAAAAAGGAACCCCAGATTTCTACCACAACACACTACAATCGCATAGGGACGAAATACAATGAAGCCAAGACTAACCGATCCCCAACAAGAGGAAGTGAATTCTCTGGAAAGGGTGATGTTCCCAATACATCTTTAAATTCCACTTCCCAACCAGTCACTAAATTAGCCACAGAAAAAGATATTTCCTTGACTTCTCAGACTGTGACTGAACTGCCACCTCACACTGTGGAAGGTACTTCAGCCTCTTTAAATGATGGCTCTAAAACTGTTCTTAGATCTCCACATATGAACTTGTCGGGGACTGCAGAATCCTTAAATACAGTTTCTATAACAGAATATGAGGAGGAGAGTTTATTGACCAGTTTCAAGCTTGATACTGGAGCTGAAGATTCTTCAGGCTCCAGTCCCGCAACTTCTGCTATCCCATTCATCTCTGAGAACATATCCCAAGGGTATATATTTTCCTCCGAAAACCCAGAGACAATAACATATGATGTCCTTATACCAGAATCTGCTAGAAATGCTTCCGAAGATTCAACTTCATCAGGTTCAGAAGAATCACTAAAGGATCCTTCTATGGAGGGAAATGTGTGGTTTCCTAGCTCTACAGACATAACAGCACAGCCCGATGTTGGATCAGGCAGAGAGAGCTTTCTCCAGACTAATTACACTGAGATACGTGTTGATGAATCTGAGAAGACAACCAAGTCCTTTTCTGCAGGCCCAGTGATGTCACAGGGTCCCTCAGTTACAGATCTGGAAATGCCACATTATTCTACCTTTGCCTACTTCCCAACTGAGGTAACACCTCATGCTTTTACCCCATCCTCCAGACAACAGGATTTGGTCTCCACGGTCAACGTGGTATACTCGCAGACAACCCAACCGGTATACAATGGTGAGACACCTCTTCAACCTTCCTACAGTAGTGAAGTCTTTCCTCTAGTCACCCCTTTGTTGCTTGACAATCAGATCCTCAACACTACCCCTGCTGCTTCAAGTAGTGATTCGGCCTTGCATGCTACGCCTGTATTTCCCAGTGTCGATGTGTCATTTGAATCCATCCTGTCTTCCTATGATGGTGCACCTTTGCTTCCATTTTCCTCTGCTTCCTTCAGTAGTGAATTGTTTCGCCATCTGCATACAGTTTCTCAAATCCTTCCACAAGTTACTTCAGCTACCGAGAGTGATAAGGTGCCCTTGCATGCTTCTCTGCCAGTGGCTGGGGGTGATTTGCTATTAGAGCCCAGCCTTGCTCAGTATTCTGATGTGCTGTCCACTACTCATGCTGCTTCAGAGACGCTGGAATTTGGTAGTGAATCTGGTGTTCTTTATAAAACGCTTATGTTTTCTCAAGTTGAACCACCCAGCAGTGATGCCATGATGCATGCACGTTCTTCAGGGCCTGAACCTTCTTATGCCTTGTCTGATAATGAGGGCTCCCAACACATCTTCACTGTTTCTTACAGTTCTGCAATACCTGTGCATGATTCTGTGGGTGTAACTTATCAGGGTTCCTTATTTAGCGGCCCTAGCCATATACCAATACCTAAGTCTTCGTTAATAACCCCAACTGCATCATTACTGCAGCCTACTCATGCCCTCTCTGGTGATGGGGAATGGTCTGGAGCCTCTTCTGATAGTGAATTTCTTTTACCTGACACAGATGGGCTGACAGCCCTTAACATTTCTTCACCTGTTTCTGTAGCTGAATTTACATATACAACATCTGTGTTTGGTGATGATAATAAGGCGCTTTCTAAAAGTGAAATAATATATGGAAATGAGACTGAACTGCAAATTCCTTCTTTCAATGAGATGGTTTACCCTTCTGAAAGCACAGTCATGCCCAACATGTATGATAATGTAAATAAGTTGAATGCGTCTTTACAAGAAACCTCTGTTTCCATTTCTAGCACCAAGGGCATGTTTCCAGGGTCCCTTGCTCATACCACCACTAAGGTTTTTGATCATGAGATTAGTCAAGTTCCAGAAAATAACTTTTCAGTTCAACCTACACATACTGTCTCTCAAGCATCTGGTGACACTTCGCTTAAACCTGTGCTTAGTGCAAACTCAGAGCCAGCATCCTCTGACCCTGCTTCTAGTGAAATGTTATCTCCTTCAACTCAGCTCTTATTTTATGAGACCTCAGCTTCTTTTAGTACTGAAGTATTGCTACAACCTTCCTTTCAGGCTTCTGATGTTGACACCTTGCTTAAAACTGTTCTTCCAGCTGTGCCCAGTGATCCAATATTGGTTGAAACCCCCAAAGTTGATAAAATTAGTTCTACAATGTTGCATCTCATTGTATCAAATTCTGCTTCAAGTGAAAACATGCTGCACTCTACATCTGTACCAGTTTTTGATGTGTCGCCTACTTCTCATATGCACTCTGCTTCACTTCAAGGTTTGACCATTTCCTATGCAAGTGAGAAATATGAACCAGTTTTGTTAAAAAGTGAAAGTTCCCACCAAGTGGTACCTTCTTTGTACAGTAATGATGAGTTGTTCCAAACGGCCAATTTGGAGATTAACCAGGCCCATCCCCCAAAAGGAAGGCATGTATTTGCTACACCTGTTTTATCAATTGATGAACCATTAAATACACTAATAAATAAGCTTATACATTCCGATGAAATTTTAACCTCCACCAAAAGTTCTGTTACTGGTAAGGTATTTGCTGGTATTCCAACAGTTGCTTCTGATACATTTGTATCTACTGATCATTCTGTTCCTATAGGAAATGGGCATGTTGCCATTACAGCTGTTTCTCCCCACAGAGATGGTTCTGTAACCTCAACAAAGTTGCTGTTTCCTTCTAAGGCAACTTCTGAGCTGAGTCATAGTGCCAAATCTGATGCCGGTTTAGTGGGTGGTGGTGAAGATGGTGACACTGATGATGATGGTGATGATGATGATGATGACAGAGGTAGTGATGGCTTATCCATTCATAAGTGTATGTCATGCTCATCCTATAGAGAATCACAGGAAAAGGTAATGAATGATTCAGACACCCACGAAAACAGTCTTATGGATCAGAATAATCCAATCTCATACTCACTATCTGAGAATTCTGAAGAAGATAATAGAGTCACAAGTGTATCCTCAGACAGTCAAACTGGTATGGACAGAAGTCCTGGTAAATCACCATCAGCAAATGGGCTATCCCAAAAGCACAATGATGGAAAAGAGGAAAATGACATTCAGACTGGTAGTGCTCTGCTTCCTCTCAGCCCTGAATCTAAAGCATGGGCAGTTCTGACAAGTGATGAAGAAAGTGGATCAGGGCAAGGTACCTCAGATAGCCTTAATGAGAATGAGACTTCCACAGATTTCAGTTTTGCAGACACTAATGAAAAAGATGCTGATGGGATCCTGGCAGCAGGTGACTCAGAAATAACTCCTGGATTCCCACAGTCCCCAACATCATCTGTTACTAGCGAGAACTCAGAAGTGTTCCACGTTTCAGAGGCAGGTTAGTTACGGATCAGAAGGACAGATTGAGGTGTGGTGGTTTGCTTGCTCTAAAAGTAAAATGAAAATTATAGAAAGATAGAAATTTGGTAAAATGGTACATCATCATTTTTAAAATCAAAACATTCAACAAATCAGTCTCCAGTTTCTGAAGTATAATTTTATTTATTATTTCAAACAATTATTTAACACATTTTGGTTTTTAATTTAATTCTCTCCAAAATAGACAAAACAATTTTTATTTATTGTCAATATTTCATACTCTACAGGATGTCTTTTATGGGTGGGGGCAATTCTGTTTGCATAATACATTTTTAGTACACTGCTTTTAAAGCAAGATCAGAGTATGCTATTTTAGATGATTTTAATTTTCATACTTTTGTTCTAAAATAAGTTGTAAACTAATTCTATTTAATTATAAAATGAATTATTAAATCTGAGAGTAATGTGACATAAGCACTTCTCTCTGACACACCCCTGTAGAAAGGAATTAGTTAATTTCCACATTCATATCAGCTTGGGGAGCTTTATTTATTATTATTATTTAATTAATTAATTAATTAATTTTGAGACGGAGTCTCGCTCTGTCGCCCAGGCTGGAGTGCAGTGGTGCAATCTCGGCTTACTACAAGCTCCGCCTCCCAGGTTCACGCCATTCTCCTGCCTCAGCCTCCCGAGTAGCTGAGACTACAGGCGCCCACCACCACGCCAGGCTAATTTTGTGTATTTTTAGTAAAGACGGGGTTTCACCATGTTAGCCAGGATGGTCTTGATCTCCTGACCTCGTGATCCACCCGCCTCGGCCTCCCAAAATGTTGGGATTACAGGCGTGAGCCACTGCACCAGGCCAGGGAGGTATTTATGTATTTATTTATTTATTTAGTTTTATTACTAAGTTTTGAGAGTTAATAATGAAGTTAAAAAAAATTTTAATTTTTTTGTCTTTCTTTATCTTAATGTTGCCTAAAGAGGGCAGTGTAAACCATCAAAATACATTTTACTTTATGCCTGCTGTTACACACTTTTTTAAGTTAAATAATGGGCATTAATATGTACAGTATGTATAGGTATTGTATCACAAGATGTAAAACACTAAACATTTTTCTGTAGAAATGAATTTCATTTGTGAATGTATTTTATGCAAATTAGCTTACTGACCAGATGTTTCTTAGAGCAGATTATGTGCAGTGTTTATAATACAGATGTCTGCTTTAAATGCCAATGGAAAGAAGAGGGAAGTTCAATCCTATTAAGTATAGAAAAGTAATACTTTCATTGAATTGGTCATAAGAATTTTATAATTTGCTTTTATTAAATGTGAACGTATCTTAAAGTTTAATAATGAAACTATTTAAATCTTAACATCAAGTTAAATGATAGGCTAATGTAACAAAATGCACTCATTGTATAAAAGTGAATATTTGTAATCCAGAACATAGACATCAGTCTCATTAGAATATTTTTCCTCTTTGCGATTTCATCTTTTTAATTAGTTGTATATTTTTTCTTCAGTGCAGCAGCAATTAAAAGTTTGTACATTTTGATAGAAAACTTTTTCTGTATTCTGAATTGATACCTATTTAACATTGCATTTTAAACACTTAAATGCTGATATGTGAGAATGAATAATGAATCCATAGGTCACTATAGTCATTAGTGCTGTCATATATATGAACTGTTATCTGTTCTCAATTATAGTAGCTGCTTTTTAGTTTTCATTAGATTTATGTTAAAAGAAAATATCAGGAATCCATCTATCTGTCTTACCAGGTAGTGACATTGATACGTTCTTGCTAGACTATGCTATTATAGAAGGATATATATAATGAGATGCTAAACCTAAAATTATTGACTAAAGCTTAGCAAATTTCTCTTCAGTGCACTAATTAGTTTTATTTAATTATCAAGAGTGTGTTCTCCCACTAATTAGGATAAAACAATATGAATATGACATCCAACATTATCAAGTAACATAATTAGTGAAGTAAATAAGATCAAACAAGATTAGGGGAAAATTCTGGCCTATTTTTAAAACTGTATCTATAAAATCATATGTAATCTGTCTTATCCAATAATTGAATATATCCCTTTATCAAATGCATGCAGACTAGCTCTGAAACTTAAGATTTTATGGTGTATTTCTAGAATGCAGAACAATTTACAGGATGTGTTCTTTAAAATACTATAGATAAGGCAAATATTAGTATCCACAATTTATAAATGAGTACACTGACACCCAAAGATACTAGATTATTTGATCCAGGTCACATGAGTAAATACAAAACTGAGCCTGGAAATGTCTATCTCTTAAAGATTATGCTTTCATGTTAGGGGCCAATTAAATAAATGTAATGCTTAAATTGTAATACCAAAATTATACTATCTTATTCTCAAAACATCTTTTAAAATGTTAATCTTAGTTTTTTATTTCTTAATTACCTATTAATTAAATATTTTAATTTAGGTAACTCATATATACTACTGAGCCATCTCAAGGAGATATTTTAGTCTCAAATAAATAAAAATAAAATCAGTAAAATTAATTCCTCATTATAGTACACAAAGCAACCAACTGATTGTCTGTGCTTTCATAAGATATCCTATTTTGTGTAAAAGAGCTAGGTTTCATGCCATAGTTTGATCATTCTGACTCCTTAATTAAAGGATTTAAGATCAAATATCCCAGAGCACTTTTGAGAAAAGTTTATACACAAGACTATATGTGTGTGCATGTGTGTATACAGTGTCTGTATATAAATATGTGTATATGGTATATTTACATATATAATGCATTATATATCTTACATATATGACATATATGATAGGACATATCTCATATATATGTATGCTATACATATATAAATGAAATATGTAATTATATATATATATACCCATATACATGTTGCTTTGAAAATTTGTGGCTATTGAAGACCTGCATAATTATATAAGCTTACTTCGTACATATATTAATCTACATCACTGGTTCTCAAACTTTAACATAGATCAAAATCAACTGGAGGACTCGTCAAAACACAAATTGCTGACCCTTACACACAGAGTTTCTGGTTCAGAAGATTTTGTATGGTTTGAGCGAAGCCTAAAATTTGCATTTCTAAGTTATGATGATGTTGATGCTGCTATTCTGGGGATCAAACGTCAAGAAAATCTGATATAGATAATAATATTAACCACCATTTGTACTAAATGAGGTACCAAGGACTTTGCTAAGTGAATGTTTTCATTTATTACTGACACACTTACTTTCCATCTAGGTAACAATAGTTACAATAGAAAAAACTGTGAAGACAACCATGTATAAAATAAGATGTTTTTCTAAATTTTATAAGGAAATGCTCATTGCATTCACCATCAGGTTATTTAGGTGACTAGATGATTCTAAATGAGTCTCCACAAAATAATGGCCAGAGCTTAGGATTAACATTTTAAAAAATGGAGTCTTGGGCTTTTCTCACAAGAATATTAGCTACAACTCAGGGCTGAGTTGGCTTAGAACATTTTCACTTTTTATACAGTTTTATGATTTTTAATCACACCTTTGAATTCCATTTTTCCTAGTAAATGCATTTATAGTTATAAGACCAAACATCTTGGGAAGTGTGTGTGCCATTTATATTCCTGTGATACATTACATTTATTTATTTATTTATTTATTTATTTATTTATTTATTTTGAGATAGAGTCTCACTCTGTTGCCCAGGCTGTAGTGCAGTGGCGTGATCTCAGCTCACTGCAACCTCTACTTCCCGGGTTCAGGCCATTCTCCTGACTCAGCTTCCCAAGTAGCTGGGATTACAAGTGTGCACCACCACGCCTGGCTAATTTTTGTATTTTTTATTTTTTTTAGTAGAGATGGGGTTTCACCATGTTGGCCAGGCTGGTCTTGAACTCCTGACCTCAAGTGATCCGCCTGCCTCAGCCTCTCAAAGTGCTGGGATTACAGGCATGAGCCACCACGCCCAGCCTGATACATTCCCTTTATTAATGGATTAAATTCCTGTCCCTTTCTGCTATCACCCTTGATCAACAGAAGAAAGCTATTATTTTAAATCTTAAGTTCTCTCCAATTAGATATATTTTAATGCTATATATGTGCACTTATATTAGTCTCAATTTTCTTAAATACATATTTAAGTTAAGTGAAGTTTCTCTGTCTCCTATTACTTAAGCATCAGAAGTGCCAAGTGCATAAGAAGGCATGTAGATTTTGATGGGAAACTCAAATGTGGTTCTTTCAGAATGTCTGCAGGTAGATATAAGGGCTTTTTGTAGCACTGTCAGCATGCTGTAATGTTAGAAACCGTTCTCATGCTCAGTCATCTTGGTTTCCCACTGAACACACCTCAAAGCAAAGAGGAAGGATTGTTATTGGCCACAAACACTCACTGTTCTGAAACTCTTTTTTTAACAACTTGGAAGGTAATCTCTAGTTAAAGTGATTTTCAAAGTGCTAGTACAGTAATGTACCTGACTGGCCCCCAAAATAATCATGTGTCATCTTTTAAAATTAACTCAAGGACCAAATTCGGATTTTTAATTATTTACACTTGCATATTTCAGAAGAATTTCTTAGATCTACATATTCCTCCAATTCACCTGAAATTGCATTTTTTTTTTTTTGTAGAATAAAACAATGGGTAAGAAGAACATTCAAAATAACATTTAAAACCAATCTATATTTAAAATTGAAATCGATTACTGGATTGAAAGGTTATCCTAATATAAGAAGAGTTATCCCAAGATTTTTTTCTTCATGAAATTATTAATTGCTTCTAACTATTTACCTAATGCAGGGTTAAAAATAATCCTATTTAAATTTATTTTAGAAAATTAATATATATGGTGATTCAGTAAGTAGCGCTGTTTTTCCTGACCATTCTATTTTAAATCAGTAGTGATTTTTAAATTACACTACTTTGATTTTTCTTATTTAGCAAGGCTTTTCAAGGCAATATTATGCTTACCTGTTGCCAAGGCACCCCTATCTGGGTGCCAATCTCTGCTGGGATGTTGTAGTTCTTCTTGTCTAATAGCCTGCCTTACATTTTAAACTTTGTTTTAATTAAATTGGCTTATAATTGTAGACATTCTTTGCATCAAAGAGTCAAAATTTTAAAGGTAAGTAACAGCAATGAAGGTTGCAATTAATCAGTTGAAAAATGCTGTGACTTTTCCTTCACCTTAAATATCAATTCTCTCAATTTTCTCTGACTACAGAGGCCAGTAATAGTAGCCATGAGTCTCGTATTGGTCTAGCTGAGGGGTTGGAATCCGAGAAGAAGGCAGTTATACCCCTTGTGATCGTGTCAGCCCTGACTTTTATCTGTCTAGTGGTTCTTGTGGGTATTCTCATCTACTGGAGGTAAGTTGAGTATTTGTTTTGGAAAATTTAATTCATAAAACTCAGATTTTGCCCATATTTCATCTGAAAGGTCTTCAAAGCATATTCAAAATGTATTTTACCTGAGAGCTGCCATTAATTTATTCAAGGTAAATTTGTGAATCCAAAGGCACAATAATGAAGGAGTTAATTGTTCTTCATACATCAATTAAAGATAAAATGGAGAAACTTTTACCCGTTACTATTTAACACAGTATTTTGACAGTTGTACTTTCATGTTAATCTAATTAATAGATATCATCATAGCATTTAACATAAGTCTAAGCTTCTCGTTAGTTGTTATAATTCCAAAAATTAAGAAAACATTTTTTATATAATAACAAGTATTGTTTTTCAATGACAGAAGAGTTTGTACAAGATGTGTATTAACTGCACATACTGATAAAAATGATAACCTGTGCATAAAAGTAAAATCAAGCAATTAAACTATAAATATAATTAGAGACTACAGCTAATGACTATCTTAAGATGCACAGGCATTTAAGATACATATAATTTGCTTTGGGGATGAAATATAGCTTCGCTGTCAATAATCTATTAAGTCCCTAAAGACAAGAATAATTGTACCCATCATAAAATTTCCATCCTGTGGAAAGCAGAACACACAGCAAATTAGTGTATTTATGAGGAACATAGGTCAGTATAACTGTGTCTGTTAGAAAACAAAGGCTTTATGATGATATAAGGAATCATATGTGTAAACCAAGAAAGGGCATAGCATAGTACTTTTATAAAGTATAGCATACTTTTATTTTAAAAAAGAATTTTGTTCAGAAGATACATAATTTTTTTGTTTAGCAACATCATTCTGTAACTTTGTATCAGCACTCTTTATGTGTTCTCTCAAAATATATTCTCGTGTTTTTTTCTGAAATATTTACCATTGTTATTGATTGTTTCCCACATACCTAGTACTGTGTTAACCATCAGGAAATATCAAAAATGAACAAATGAATGAAAAAAGAGTCAGTGATTTGAAGAAATATATGCTTATTGAGGGGGAAGAATTTGTTATAAAAATGTATAAAATATTACACAAAAGTGTATGCGTAGCAGTTGAAATCTAGTGCTAAAAGTAGTCAGAGAACAAAGAAGCTTGGTAGGCCAGAATGCTCAGGGCAAGTGTAAACTAAAATGTAGGACTCAAGCTCTGTGGGAGTCAGAAAGGAAAGGAAAAGGGCATTCCAGGCAGGGACACAGCAGGTGCAAAGATCGGGAAGTAGAAATGAGCTGTCTTTTGAGTAAAAGCTATTGGATGTTTCGGACACAGTGAGGTCTGGAGCATGTATTAATAGTTGCATGTAGTTGGACATTGGTTGGCTAGGGTAGAATGTCTTCATGATCAACTGTATTTCATATCTGACTTCCTTTACTAGAACAGAGTAGACTGCACACTATGGAGAACAGATCATGCTTTTGTTACCCCACATGGGTCAGGAGTCTATTTTGTTATAATAAGAAACAAACAAACCTGGTTTCTTTAGTCTGTATCCCGGTGATTCCAATAATTGCCAAAGATTCTTTTTTTTTTTTGCTAAAGGGTTCATGCTTAGCAGAGTGCTTTGAACCTAATCCATAATCCATAAATGTGTGTTCAACAAAAATAAATATTGCTTTTCTCCCCGTTCCCCACTGAACTTGTTGACCAAATTTTTTACCACATTGATATGTGTATTCAGATTACAGGTTTCTATCTAATCTGATTTTCCCTACCAAACTACCTTTTTAATTAATGGGAGTCAGTGTTAAGAATTGAAAATAAGATGGAGAATATGACCAATTCTGCTTCATAGTAAATAGTGCTAGTACAAAGTTCCAATAAAGATGTCAGATGGTTTATAATTATAAGATTGAAATTCGTTTCTTAATCTGTGTTACTTTTCAAGTATATTTTCTGAAAATTTGGAAATCAGTATCTTATTTAATACAATTTGATATTTCATGGAAAATTAAAATTTAGAGAGGTTTCTATCTTCTATTAATAATGTGTCATTTCATCTGCATTATATGGGGAAAAGATAAAATTACCAGTCAAAAATATATTAATTTGACCTTCAATAAGATATTTCTTTTTTCTTCACAAATAACACTTTAGGTACCTTGAATGCAGAGTGTCATAGTGTAAAATATATATGAGTATTTTGGCCAGGCACAGTGGCTCACACCTGTAATCCCAGCAATTTGCAAAGGTGAAGTAAGTAGATCACTTGAGGCCGTGAGTTTGAGACCAGCCCAGGAAACATAGTGAGACCTCCATCTCTACAAAAACAATAAAAATAAACAATTTAGCTGGGCATGGTAGGGCATGTCATACTCCCAGCTTCCCAGGAGGCTGAGGCTGGAGGATCACTTGAGCCCAGGAGTCAAGGTTACAGTGAGCTGTGATTATGCCACTGCACTCCAGCCTGGGCGACAAAGTAAGACACTGTCTCAAAAAAAAAATCACTTTGATGGTTTTATGTATATGTTTTATATCTATTAAATGTTCTGATAAAAATTGTCAATCTTTACTTATTTTGAAATGTTAAGTAGTGTTAGATATCTGACCTACTAACATCTGTTTGAAGTTAATTCACTAAAAAATATAAATTTTCATATCATCATATGCTAGGGGTATTATGTGCTGAATCACAAGATGATAGTTTTAGTTAATTCTTCAAGGTTTATGTGAATTATTCAAATTCCAGTGAAGCTACATTTGTAAACAATATGATTTCACTAGCCAATATATAAACATTTTAGACCTTTGTAAAAGCTACAGCTTGAGAAAAGGTTTAAAAATCTAATGTCGTACCAATAACAGTCCTAATGGTAATGAAGTCCTTAAGAATTTTTCCAAGTTTATATATTTAAACTTTTTTAAACAGCTTAATTAGGTAATATTGAAATATCATAAAACTCACCTTTTTAAAGTGTATGATTCAATGGTTTTTAAAGTGTTCTACTATTTCCATAATGACTAATGATGTTAAGTGTTTTTTCATGTGCTTGTTGGACAGTTGTATATCTTTTTTTGATAAATGTGTATTCAAATCCTTTGCTGCCTATTTTTTAATTGGGTTATTTGTCTTTCTATTATTGAGTTGTGGTTTTGTTTGTTTGTTTTGTTTTAAGGAGCAGAGAGTTTAATAGGTAAGAAAGATGGGAGAAGGCAGAAGGAAGAAGCTCCCCGTACAGAGACAGAGGGAGGGGGCCTCCAAAGCTGAAAGAGGAGAACCTGAGTTGTGTGTTTTTATATATTCTAGATACAAGTCCCTTATCAGATATCTGATTTGCAATTATTTTTTCCCATTCTGTGAGTTATCTTCTCACTTTCATGATGGTATCTTTTTTAAAGTAGAAAAGTTTTTAATTTTGATGAGGCCAAATTCATCTATTTTTTCTCTTATTGCTTGCACCTTCAGTATCATATCTAAGAAGGCATTGCCTAACCCAGCACCACATGGATTTACTCCTAGATTTTTGTCTAAGAATTTAACAAAATTAAAGGACTCATGCTTCCCAGTTGCAAAACTTTAATTGAAAGCTACAGGAATCAAGAGAGTCTGGTACTGCCATAAGAATAGACATATAGATCAATGGAATCGAACTGAGAACCCAGAAATCTTATGTTTACGATCAGTGGATTTTAGACAAGGATCCAAAGACTTTTCAATGGGCAAAGAATAGTCCTTCCAACAGATGGTGCTAGGACAATTGAATATTCACATACAAAAAGTCAAATTAAACCTTTTTCTAACACTATACACAAAAATGAACTCATAGGGACCATAGACATCAGTGTAAGAACTATAAAATTCTTAGAAGAAAATATTTAAGTATGTTTCTAACCTATTTTAATGAGAAATTAATCTCAAAGTTTTATAATAAATCTGCTATTTCACCTAATTTACCTAACTCAAGATATTCCCCTTATTTTTTGTATAAACTTTCAGAGGAAGCAGATTTTAGCCAAAAGACAGAACAAATTCAAAGTGAGAAAATCCAGATCTCTTTCCTAGTTCTGCCCGGCATTTGCTATATGGCCTTGGGCATGTCAATTACCCACCTAGGACTTGGTTTCTCCTGTTTACCATTTGGGTAGGTTCACTAGATCATCTTTAAGATTGTAGCCAGCGAGGCATGGTGGCTCATGCCTGTAATCCCAAAACTTTGGGATTTATATATATATATAATTTTATATATAATTATATATATGTATAATTTTATATATAATTATATATATATAATTTTATATATAATTATATATATTATATGTATAATTTTATATATAATTATATATATTATATGTATAATTTTATATATAATTATATATATTATATGTATAATTTTATATATAATTATATATATTATATGTATAATTTTATATATAATTTTATATATTATATGTATAATTTTATATATAATTATATATATTATATGTATAATTTTATATATAATTATATATATAATGTATAATTTTATATATAATATATATTATATGTATAATTTTATATATAATTATATATTATATGTATAATTTTATATATAATTATATATATATAAAAAAAAAAAAGATTGTAGCCAGACCCAGGAATAGAATAATACACATTTCTAGGTTTTCATTATAAATACTGTGATGAAAAGGCGTAAACCAAATAATCAGATTACCATTGATTGATAGGACCTATGTCTACAAGTTTAAGACAGTCATCACTTTTTTCATCATGCCTGATGGATAATTAGCAGGTGACGTAGTTATCAACACTTAGCACATAGACGTGAAGACATTCACTGCTTATACTGAACAGATGGACTACAGATACTGAATCTTGTCATACATTAAATAATATGCCTTGAAATCATTTTCCAGATGTTTTATGGTATAATTTACATGGGCCATACCATAAGTTTCTAAGATGCAAAAATGACTTCAACAGGGAAGATTTTCAAAAGTTTTTTTTTTTTTAAGGCAAATTTTTGAAAGCTTTTTTAAGAGTTGGAACCTAAAAAGTACCAAAGGTATACCCAACCAAATGGCACACTATCAAAAGCAATATAGAAAAGGACTTCACATAAACACAATTGTTTTGGCTGGGGGTAGGGAGATGAAAAGCAATATGAATTCTCTCTTGATCTTAAACTTGAATTTGTGGATCATTGAAGATGTCTACTAACCCAGAATGGAGGTCTTCTGGTACCAGATTGCCTTTTAAGTGTAGTGTCACTTGCTATATAAAACTGCACTACAAAGTATACCTAACCAATATGCAAATGACCTTCATCCATAATTTAGCCTATACTATTTTAATTTTTTTTTTTTACTTACAAGCTTTTTGGTATTATTTATAAGGTCTTTTAGGGAAATTAATGCCAAATAGGGTTATTGGGCTACTTATTTTCTAGAACCAACAAAGATTTGATTACAGATTTGTTTATTTGTTTGTGACAAGAGTAGAATTGGTGTTTACCCACACTACTGTGAACACTAGCAACATATTCAACCTCAATGCCAACATGTTTTAATTTACCATTTTATATTCTATGAGATGCTGCCTTCTTCCCATTCAGTCATAGTTATTGGTACATCCTCTATCGATCCATCTGCCCATCCAGCCACCCATTCGTCCATCCTTCTCTACCTATATATCTTATCTCTCCTTCCAAAATGTTTTGAGATTTCAAGTTATCCCAATTGAGGCTAAGGTAGGTAAGGGAATCCAGGATGCAGCTGAACAACATATGATTGGTGGGATTTACTTGCTATTAGAAATCCATCTAATCATTCAACAAATATTGAACACCTATTCTACTCCTGGCACAGTATTAAGAGTTGGGTTTACATAAAATCAAGAGATACGGCCCCATCTTTTAAAAATGTAATAAAGATATAAGCACAAAACAAATATAATACAAAACAATTACACTAACCACCAATTAAGAAAAATACTTAAAATAAATAATGTAGAATAATGTCCAGGAAATGAAGATTACTCTTAGATTGATTAGGTGTATTTTTCAAAACAGTCTTTTCTTTTTTTTTCTTTTTTTTTTTTTTTTGAGACAGAGTTTCACTGCTGTTGCCCAGGCTGGAGTGCAATGGTGCGATCTCAGCTCACCGCAACCTCCACCTCCCTGGTTCAAGCAATTCTTCTGCCTCAGCCTCTTGAGTAGCTTGGATTACAGGCATGTGCCACCATGCCCGGCTAATTTTTTGTATTTTTAGTAGAGACAGGGTTTCTCCATGTTGGTCAGACTGGTCTTGAACTCCCGACCTCTGGTGATCTGCCTGCCTAGGCCTCCCAAAGTGCTGGGATTACAGGCATGAGCCACCACGCCCAGCCAAAACAGTCTTTATGTAGGCTTTTGTGAATAGAAATTTGGGTTAGGTGCAGTGGAAAAGGAGAAGCTGTGGTGCTAAAGGCTGATTAGGAAATGAAAGGCCATTTCACAGAGAAGATACCTCTGAGCTGTCTTGAAAGAAGGCAGTGTTTGTCTGGCATATTGGCCAGTGAGATATTTTGGTTAGAAGTAGAGGAATGTTTAAAGCAGAATAGATAAATACTGAGTCAGGAGAGAAAAGGCAGGTTTATTTATCTACAATGTGATTATATTGTTAGAGTATAAACTTCAATAAGAAAAGTCTAACAGGGTGTGGACCACAGACAGGTAGGGTTTAAGTATTGAAAAGCCTTGGATATTATAATCTAAATATCTGTAAAATATATAACTAGAATATATGGGCAAAAGTAAAAGGGGGATAGATATGAACCCGTTAGAGCTGTTAACAGTGGATCAAGAAGACCTATTCTTTGAGTACCATTTGTAAATACTTAGAAGGGAATGAGTTTTGAGTTAGTAGAAGAAAAAATAAAATCTAGGAAATAAGGAGGATTCAAAAGGAGTGATCTCCTTCTCACTGAAGGTATTCAAACTGGACCTTCTTAACCATAGGTTAGAGATGCTGTTGAAGGGATTCTTGTATCAGCTGTGATACTGCACTAGCTTTTTAAAGGCATTTTACAACGTTAAGATTCGTTGAAATATTTTTTAAAACATTTCACCAGCTTGTATAACTGTATTTTGGAGAAATCAAAGGGATTTTAATTCTGTGACCTTAAAAGCATGTATCAAGTCCAGTGTTTCCATATCAATATGTCAGAATATGCTCCATTCATAGTTGCACAGATAAGCCAAACTTTCTGTATAGTTTCTGCCACAATCTGGTTTCATTTCTGCTCATGTGGGCCTTCTGTAGGATAGTTTCTGTGGCCCTCATGTCTCTCATTCCTCATCAGTCTACCATACTCTCCATTTTCCAGGATATTAACCTAGTTAGGAGGGTCCCTTTGACACTTGTTTCTGTATCCACTCACCTTTCTCTTATTCGACCTGCTCTCTCTTGAAGATATTTCTGTGTTCTCTCAATATATCTTCTCTCAGGTGTGATTATCAAAGGCTTATACTACCACAGTAGATGACTAATTTTGCTATGTACGTCATTGCTTTAAGTTTTTTGTTTATTTGCTTGTGACATCAAGGTTATAAGTAAACTATATAATTTTACACCACTCCTACTTATAGAAGTTCATTCATCAGAGAAATGCTTCGGGGTTACCTCCAACATGACACACATGCTCCCGAGCACTAAAGACTAACACTGCAATGATTGAGACAAAGTAGTTTGCCTTGTGGGGCTTATATTCTGATAAGAAGAGACCAATTATAAACATATAAAACAAATAAAAACATAATAGTATTTCAAATAGTGATGTGCCACAGAGCAAACAAAAAGGCAAAGAGTAGTGACTTAGTGAGATAGCCTGACACTTAGCTGTCATGATCAGGGGAAAACTCAGAGGGAGCGGCATTTGGGCCAATGCAAAAGTGATGGGAAGGAGGCAGGAAGCCAGGGGGAATGGCAAGAGTCAAGGCCCTGAAAAGCTACTGACAGGGCTTCTTCAGAGGTGAAGGAGAGGACCAGTGTGGGCTGGATCCTGGTGGGTGAGGGAGAGAGTTGCAGGAAAGGAAGCTACTGAAGTAGGTTGGGGGCCAGGTCAGGGATTAAAAAGGTCTTAAAGCCCTTGCTAACATAACTGAATGTAATTCTAATTGCAGCGAGAAGCCATTCAAGAATTTTATCTAAAGGAACTAATTTACTAGAAAAAAATAAAGATTTAGGTGTGTCACTATATAAGAACAAATGTTACATTAAAACTCATTAGGATAAATGCCTTGTAGCTTGAAGGTTTAGATGGAAAGTGAGATTGTCGTTTTCAGTCAAACAGAATTCAAGTGTTTCAATTTAACCACTCATGAATATTGCTCCAAATAAATTAAATGACCTACATCAAAGAGTGTCATTAGCAGTTTTAATTATTCAATTTTTAAAATTAAAGATGGTTGGCTTTACTTTATAGCAGTAGTTGGTTCTTTGCTCTTGTCGATAGTTTGTGGTGTGCTCTTACCAGATGCTACTCTTATTATCCGAATGAAAATAGATTCAGGTGATATTGTAGATCATAGTTGTCACTGAATCTGAATATATTCATTCTCGAAACCCTCATCAACAAGACTAGCATCTGTTGGGAAGAAAATCGCCCCTATTTTTGGTTGTATGCTCATTATTTTCTCATTTAAGTTCTGTCACTCCTGCATTATTACAGCATGAAGCCACTTTCTTTTTTCATCAAAATGTTACCACGGTGTAGTTTCATTTCTACGTAGTTCATAGTTCATTTCTATGTACTATGGACTGTGTAGGTAATTTCTACATAGTTCATTTCTACATAGCTTGCTGCTTTTTGCTAGCAGCTGTATATGCTAAGAAGAACATGGTCATTTGAGTGAATGTTGAGTGAAAATGGCTTTGGACATTATTTCTTTTCTTCTCTGGCTCTATCCAAGATGGCAGGACATTTTGGGTATTATAGCCACAGTGGAAGAATATGTAGGGCATTGAGGTTTCCTATATTAACAAAGTATCACTTTGAACCCAGCTACAACTTCAAATTCTGTCTGTGCTTTTAGCATGCCTGATATCTACTTGCTCTTCTGCATCTGCTACAGGTAAAACTGAGATAAATTTTATAATTTAACATCTTGTGACTTGTTAAAATGGATGTAGATCCAGCAATCCCTCTTCTGGGTATATACCTGCTTTTGTTTTAATTCTGGAGATTTCTATCAAAATTTTCAAGCAGCTCAGAAATTGTCTTATTTTCCATAGCAACTAGTAGTATAAATTGTGTTCTTTTATTTCCAGGAAATGCTTCCAGACTGCACACTTTTACTTAGAGGACAGTACATCCCCTAGAGTTATATCCACACCTCCAACACCTATCTTTCCAATTTCAGGTAATGGCTTAAAGTGTGACCATGAGTAGCTGGTAGATGTTGAACAAAAAGCACAATGTTGAAAGGTTTGTTTTTATCGGGACACTATGCAAATTGCTATAATGTAGATTAGTAAATTTTTGTGTTGCCCCAAATATTTATTACATTATGTTCCAGGTACTCAGGTTTATATTCTGTCCTCATTAATTTTAAACGTTCTTAATCATACAGATGATATTGCAAAAATAGTTTATAATTGTTCAGGTGTATTATGTTAAAAACATAAACATTTATAGCAATAAAATATTAGTTAAGAATAATGGTGACTTTTACTTATTCCTATTATGTTAATGGAAACCCAAGCAACAAAAGTCAGATTAAGTCAATGCAGAAAATGTGGATGGGAAAAAAATGACAAAAATAAGGATAAAGTCTTGTTCCTTTCTGATTACTTGAGTTTATGTGAGAAAAGGGTTTTTTTTTTTTAACCTACATTAGAAGAAAAGATCTATAAAATTGTGGTGGTAATAGCAGGAAAAGCCATGAACACAAACAATATATGGTTGCTTGAAATAATCTCTCAAAATGTTGAACAGTTGAATATTTGGGAAGACTTTAGCTATTTTTATCATAATTTATCTGAATAACAGTATTCAAAGGTAGCCAGGGTCATTTTGATAGAGACATCCATTAATCCTAGAGTTTACACTATAAGTAAAATCATAACCACTCATTTTTAATATAAATTCAAGGGGTGCATGTGCAGGTTTGCTACATGGACATGTTGCATATTCAAGCCACTTATTTAATTAACATTTTATAACATCTTGGATTGAAAAGTGGCAACAAAAAATAGTGGTCTAGAATTGTGTGATCTGGGAAATAGAGGACAATAAAAGGAAAGAGAAGTTAAGAAAGTAGGGATACAAAAGGAGAAAGTCATCTATGGGATCATTTCACAGATGGCACTTTTTAAATTCTCTGACTGATGCTCCATATTCCATTGCTAGAGGCTCAAGTTCTACAGGATGTTATCTTCTGAAATCTCATGACTTAAAAAACAGAAAAAAAGTCAAACATTTTATTTATATTTTACATTTATATGTTGATGTTTGTTATATGTTTATGTCATATGTTATATATATTATTTATATATATTTAACTATGATATTTTCTTTTTGTGCCTTATAAACTTAGGAATTGTGTTTGCTATTTTTCCTCTTTTGTCAAGTCTGTGTCTTTAAGCACCACTGTTTTATTTGTTTTTCTAGTTTACATTAAAATACTATTATTTTAGTACCACAGTGTCTCATTGCCATATTCAGAATTTTTAGACCAACAGCTCTCAGTTATCTGTTACATTTTGATTCCCTTCACTTCCAAACATGTCTCTTCTGCATACCCCATCAGCATGGGTATGCAGATTAACTAAAATTTTATCCAAAGTCCAACATGGTTTATTTTTAACAAATAAAATAATACAAAATCAGACCTAGTCCAGGAGATCCAAACTCCCCTGTTTTGAGTGTCAAAAGAGTGGTGATTCAAGGGCATCTCCTTATTTCACTTGTTCAGTTCTCAAAGATTCCCTCTTGATCACCTGAATATGCATGTTTTCGTGTAAAAATCAGAAAGCAAAATGAATGTTAGTCTCACTTACTTGCAGACCAATTAATAAAAGAAATTACCAAAATACCTGACTGTCAATAAAAGGTACTAGTCTACTTATGAAAGGAGGTTGGCTGTGCAGGATAACATCAAGGGGTTTGAAGGACATTTACTAGGACTAATGACTTACATGTGACAAATCATTTCTGTTTTCTTATCTAATTATAAAAGCTTCTAAGCAAGATCCTTCTATAAGTGTGAAGGTAGAATTACACCTTTGTCTAGTGTTTCTTAAGCTTGACTGACTAATTCAATTTTAGTATTCAGATCCACTCATCTAAGAGAGAGAACAGATGGATTCCAGTTTTTTTTTATCAGCAAATTCTTGGTAACTGAAGCTTTAAAATATTAGATGGCCTAAATGCTGAACATCTGTTGCTATAAATAACTGTTTCTAGTGAAATGTGTTTGATGTTTCCTTGTCAGAGAAATCACTTGTAAAATTGCATACTGTGAACTAGTAATATATTCAGTCTAAGAAAGTCTTTCCAGGAAAAGAAAAAAAAATCAGAACCAGTTAAAATAATTTGGCCCCTTCACAATTAATTAACAGATCCAATGACTTTGTTTACATAGCATATTTTCAAGTTAGAATTCTTGAAATTTTACAGATTAAAAGTCCCAAAGGCTTTTGACATTATCCTTAATGAAATTCTCCATATAAATGTTTTCTATTATTTACAGAGAGAAGGAAAAAATGTTTTCAAATGTAAACATCTATTTGACTGTAAGACATTAAATTGTACAGTTTTACAAAACCGAAATTACACTATTTATTATGCTTGGTCCACACTAAAATTGAAACTATATTATTTCTACATTTTTTCTCAGAATTTACATGCAACATCCAGGCATGTTAAAGAAAGTTGTCCATCAAAAGATGCAGTCCACTGATAAGGAGTGGGGCTATGGTGGTATTTATAAATTAACATTGAAAATAAGTGATTTTATCTTTAGGTATAGATGGAAAAGAGATTGCTGAACAAATCAGATTTCTGAAATACAGGTTTTGATTGATAATAAATGTAGAGAAAATTGGTAATTGTTGCTTAACAATTGAATGCTGAGATTTAGTTAGAATTATACAAATAATTGAAGTTGTTTCAGAAGCTACTTTATAAGTGATAGGTACGTTTATTTCTGTTAAATTATGCTCTCTAACACAATTTTTTTATTCACGTAGATGATGTCGGAGCAATTCCAATAAAGCACTTTCCAAAGCATGTTGCAGATTTACATGCAAGTAGTGGGTTTACTGAAGAATTTGAGGTATGATTTTAATATGTCTATTTTAAATAATATAGAAAATAGTAAAATTTAAAAGATTCAGCAATAGGCTATTTCTTGACCTAAAGACAGTGCAACCATTTGCACTTCTAGTAAAAATATGAGTTCCATAATTACATATGTGTTTAGGAGATGTGTTATAGTTACTATATAATTTAGACAATTGGTTTTCTATTTTAAAAGCCAAGTTGTACTGGTGGAAACATAAAAAACATTGTTCATTTTCTTCCATAAAGTACAAATCTTTAATATTCTTTTTTAAAATCTGAATTAATAACAATGATTCTTTTTAATTTTCTAAATTCTATAAATTATACTAAACTACTAAATTTCATGATTTCCAGCCAAATTACATAAAAATTCTTAACTGTGATTTGTACACCAGTGTTAATGCAAAAGCATTTAGATAACACTTACATTATACCAGGTAAAAATGTATCTTCTTTTCAAGAAAATATGCATTTCTAAAAAAAATTTGAACTTCAAAATCAGTAAGTTTTTTCCAATGATATTCTGTTAAAATACTCTTAGACAGAAGGGCAGAGAAATTTACTGCAAATTTATCATGGCCCACTGAACTATCAGCTAAGTAGATTTTTCAAAATAGAGAGCTGTAAGCACAAAGGTAACAATAAAAACCACAAAAAATAAAAGCTACCCTTTGTGAACACCTTCTTACATGTCAGTGGACTACATGCTTTCACATTCAACTTTCACCCATCTCTGGGAATTACTTGTTATTATTTCTATTCATATTATTGATGAAATCAAACTTCATAGAATTTAATTAACAACTGATAAATAACAGAGTTCCATTCAAACCTAAGTCTGTGATTTAAAAACTCATGTCCTTTCCACTGTAGCTGTAAGCAGGAAGGCTGTCTTCAGCCTCCCCGCTGGCCATTCCCCACTAGAGAGCTTCATATTGCATTTTTGCTTCTCTCTCCCCTAACCCCAGTGGCTCTGCGGACCTCCCTCTTTGAAGTACTTTGAGCTGTAAGCCTAATCACAAAATCCACTCTCTCCTGATTTTCTTTCCCCACTGCACCCAGCAGTTGCTTCCCAGGACTCACACCCATCATTATTTATTTAGGGAGGCAAAATGTTATAGATTAGAAAGCTTTAAGAAATCAAAAGAAAGAGAGGTATGATATGTTTTTACTAATTTAAAAATAATAGAAGCCAATTTATTTAATTCTAAAAGAAATCTAAATCATAGCTACATTGAATAAGAAAGCAGTGTGAGGCAGTACTAAGTAGGGTGGAATAATATAAATAATTACATGTCTAAAACATCAAATTATTTTTTATTATTTTGACAGGCTAGAGGTTACGCATGCTATAGTGTTAACTCAATGTTAATTTTAGTGTTAACTGATAGAAATTATCAGGCTAACATCTAACAAAATAAGAAAAAATAGACAATTTATAATATAAATTACTGACAACATATACAAATTCATGGTTTTCATAACTATAAAATCATTTTGAATATTATTAAGCAGTCCAAAATAATTAAATTAATAAAATAACTTCATGTTTTCACTTTTAAAGTTTTTTCTTAATTCTATCTCTTTTAACTCACTGCCTGATTCAAGAAAATTTTACATTAACTGAATAATTAGCTTAGTAACTAATAGCGTTATACCTTTTAAGTGGTTCTTACATCAAATTGCTTTTAATTGTTCAGAATGACTTGCTGCAAAAGAAGCCTTAA
This sequence comes from Homo sapiens, assembly GCF_000001405.40. Classification (NCBI taxonomy): domain Eukaryota; kingdom Metazoa; phylum Chordata; class Mammalia; order Primates; family Hominidae; genus Homo; species Homo sapiens. Next base: position 122,033,295 of record NC_000007.14, read on the forward strand.
AAGGTTATGTGGAGGGAGATTGGGCCATTTGCTGATGAATCAGATTTTTATTTTGGTTATCTACTTTCTCAGAAATTATAAGGCTTTTATTTTATTATATAATACTAAATAATTATAAATTCTAAACAGATAGAAAATATTTCTGAAAGCATATTAACTCATTTTTAATAAAAAAATGGGCAGAAATAAATTTTCTTTACTTACTGAAGTTTAAACAAAAAGAGGTCTGCTAATTAAATATTTAGAGTGTTATGCTATCTAAATTTTGTTTCAAAATGATGTAATGTGTATGATTTTTAAAATTTTTAGGAAATGATTAATGTTTTGATAGCCTTAAATCTGTTACAAACCACCTAATAGGAAGCTGTTTACTTTTTAAAGTAACCCCCCAAAAAATAAAAACAAAAAAGCACATCACTAATTCAGAGTTTCAAATAGTGCTACTATGGTCAAATAAAATAAAATTTGGATATTAGCCAATCTGACTAATATGACAAAATGTATCATGGAATATGTGGTTCCTCTCATCTGCATTTTTAAAATCATCATATTATGACATCACTATCTCCTTTTAAAAGTGTTATGTTTTCTTTTACATAATTTTAAAGTTCCAAATTATTAGACATTTTGATTTGCATGCAACTGTTTGAAACATTCTGTTGTGTTAGTATTTGACAAATGTATTTATTGCATGATCATAGTTTTCCATTGTAAACCTAATATGAACGCTTTTTTTTCTCATTTGTCGTGTGCTGTGGAATTTGATTTCTTTACTTTTTTGGCATTCATTCCCTCATTAGACACTGAAAGAGTTTTACCAGGTAAGGCATTATTTCACTGCATTTTCTTTTAGCCAAGAAGTAGTTGTAACTTTTAAAAAATTTCATTTGATAGATTATTTTGTTTGTTTTGTCTTCGTTATTATATTTTAAGGCACGTTGTTTGAAAGAATGTGTGTTAAAATGATTTACATATAATTTTTTACAGGAAGTGCAGAGCTGTACTGTTGACTTAGGTATTACAGCAGACAGCTCCAACCACCCAGACAACAAGCACAAGAATCGATACATAAATATCGTTGCCTGTAAGTATATTCTTAAATCAGCTCTGACTTCAATATCATTGCCATTTTGGTGCCTTTTAAAAGTGTCCTGAAGTCATCTGAGAGCTGACCTTAGTGTGGCTGTTTGGGGCCTTTTTATCAGGGAATAATAAGACTTGTGTTAGATAATATGTAGCATTATATCACTCTGACTTAAATACCTTCTGCAATTAATAACATCTGTTTTATTTAAACAAAACAAACTTAGAATTTTAATCCAATTCTTTCTTTTGTTCTTTCTTTCATAGACTGTTCATCTCCCTTGGTGGTTTTTGTCATTATTTATATGACTTGGTCCTATTTTCACCTAGGATTTGCTTACTCTTATGTGAATTTACCAACCGAATTACATTTTCTTTAAACTTTCTCTTTTTTCTTCTACCTTTACCTGTTTCCTCCCTTTCTTGGCATTCTTCCTGGGGTCTTATAAAGAATTAGTTGGATTCTTTCTTTTAATTCTTTCTTTCTCTTTGTTTTCTTAGCCTTTCTCTCTCCCTTTCTCCTCAATGAGCAGCTATCTGGCTTTTTTCATTAGTGCAATTTTACGTAATATTTCTCTATGAAATTATTGTCTTTCTTCTGTCTTCTTATAGCACTTCTGGTTGCATTTGTTCCCTCTTATTTTTGTTTATATTCCCCTTCATCTCCTAAAATTCATCTTCGTGCTCCCTCCCCACTCCAAAAACAAACAAACAAACAAATAAACATTCTACTTATACCCTTTCTATATATTCAGTGGTGTGGCCCTTCCTGGCTTCATAGGACCATGGTATTACCAACGAGGTTATTTAAATTCTGGTTTCATTCTAGTTCTGAAAGCCAATGGAGCTGCACTCTTCTCCCTGTTACTATCATGATCTCTTATATAGTTTGTATAGATGTTGCCATTCTTTCCACAGAGTTTACACTAATTTTTATTTTTTAGTAGAGGGCTTTATGTTTGTCTTCCTGAACTGCGTCTATCCTGGCTACACATAAAACTCACTTGCTTCTTGAGATAAAATTATTAGACTTTCCTCTACAAGCTAAATAGAACATACGCATCAGGTAATTAAGAAGGAGACAGAGATTAACATTTGATGAACACCTACCTACTATGTGGCTGGCACTGTAAATAAGTTATTTCATTTAATCCCTGAAACAACCAGGCAAGATAGGAAATTGTCCAATTTTAGAGATAAAGAAAAACAATCCAGAAATTCTAAAACTATTAAAACCAAACTACAAAAATAGGTCACCCTGACATTGAGACCCATCTGTCAGTTGCCATACTTCCATTTGCACATACATTCCTGTATCAGTGTGACCTGTTACCATCACAGAAGTATTCATATCCCAGAGTATCTCTTTAACTTGTTTTGGTTTGGTCTGTATTCACTTCTTCATCCTTGAAAAGAATAATCTTCTCAGTGAAACTGCCATGTTTCCTTCAAGTAATACTTTATTTCTCATATGTATTTTCTCCAAATAAATAGTTTTTCTGTAGAACTGAATTTAATCTCAAACTCCTGTAATCATACTTTGAATTACCATAGTTATACCTTATATCATTTACCAGATTTTGCATCCATCCTGTTTTCACTGGCAGTGTGCTATCTACCTCCTCTGTGCTTGAGCAGCTGTTCTCCTGCCTCCTTTTGAAGCAGTTTCTCTTTGAGGCTCCTCCTGAAAGAGCTGTTTGCTGTAACCATTCACAGAAACTTCCTAGGGAACCTTTGGCTTTCTTCTCTATCTCTTCTTCCTTCATCAGCCTCCTGTTCATCCTTACCTAGCTTTGTGAGCCTCCCCACCCATCACATTTTTATCTCTTCGAGAAGCTCTCCACTGTTCACAGCCCTTGTAACCAACCTTAAAATTCCATTTAAAAGACCAACTTCAGATGTCAACCTCTATAGAAACTTTTATCTCAAACTAAAACAATTTCTGTTTTCATATCCCTCCACTACATTGCACCTCTCACTTGACACCTGTGTATATACCCTAGTTTCACCTATTACCTTAGAAATGTTCCTGAGGGTGGAGATTCTTTTTATATTTGTCTTTGTTTTCTTTGCTGTCTCTGTATCCCCAAAAAGCCTATGAAAGTAAATGATTGCTTGTGTTGATTTTAATTGAATGAAATAAATTATTATGCAAATATGAATTATCTTTGTGCTGAAAAGTAGTCTGTGCTACAATGAAATATATTCTCTTTATATTACAGATGATCATAGCAGGGTTAAGCTAGCACAGCTTGCTGAAAAGGATGGCAAACTGACTGATTATATCAATGCCAATTATGTTGATGTAAGCATGTTTTAATTGAAAATTTTATAGAAATCATATTAGACTGAATTATTATACCATAATGCCATACATGCATACATATACTAGTGCTTAATGTCATGTTATTCGATAGAGAATAAAAATGGTAAAGTAACAGTAAATAATTTTTAAGAGAGCCTATGACTAAAAATTTTCATATTAAATGACATTCAAGCTATTTTACTTGGTTTATCTCCTGAGTGAGGAAAGGAATTCATGATGGGAGTGTACCTTCAGGGTGGAATAGGTAGATTCAGATAGGTTTCTAACTCTTTAGATGTGAAGGGCAGGGCTGGGCGCGGTGGCTCACGCCTGTAATCCCAGAACTTTGGGAGGCTGAGGCAGGCGGATCACGAGGTCAGAAGATCGAGACCATCCTAGCTAACACGGTGAAACCCCATCTCTACTAAAAATACAAAAAAAAATTAGCTGGGCGTTGTGGCGGGCGCCTGTAGTCCCAGCTACTCGGGAGGCTGAGGCAGGAGAATGGCGTGAACCCGGGAGGCAGAGTTTGCAGTGAGCCGAGATCGCACTTCTGCACTCCAGCCTGGGCAACAGAGTGAGACTCCGTCTCAGAAAAAAAAAAAATGTGAAGGGCAGGGCCAAGGCTTATTTTAAGTTTCCCATAGCTCCTGGCACAAGGATGTGCATTTAGCTGATGAACAAAAAATTTCCATAGTAGTACTGATTAAAAGGCAAACATGATTATTAATCCAGTTATCAACCTTTATAATTTTGGGTATTCCTCAGGATACCCAGCTTTGTGGAACTTACTGGGACTCTCCAGAGACTGTAGACCGCTCACTAACTAAATTGGTTTTTCACTGTGATCACCTGAATGTCAGCAGAACTCAATTACTTCCCTAAGATGCACCTCTCAGTCTAGCTGGCTTCAGGTTAATACTGTGTGGAATACTGAATTCAAATAAATGAGTACATAAGTATAAAGTGGGTTTGTTACAGGCAACTGTTTCATGCTTCCTGAGGAGGAAATATGCATGTCAGAATGAACATGAGATCTGGAGTTAGAACTGATTTTGAATCCCATCTCTGCCACTGGCTAGCTGTGGGACTTTGGAAAGCCACTTAACTCCTCTGAGCTTTAGGTTCCTCATCTCCACATCAGGGTTGATGCTTCCATTTTGCATAGATGAAAGATTAAGGTTCACGTTCTGTATTAGTCTATGAAGGACACTGCTATGAAGGAATACCCAAGACTGGGTAATTTATAAAGAAAAGAGGTTTAATTTTCTCATAGTTCTGCATGGCTAGGGAGGTCTCGGGAAACTTACAGTCATGGTGAAAGGCACCTCTTCACAGAATGGCAGGAGAGAGAATGAGTGCCCAGTAAGGAGGAAAGCCCTTTTTATAACCATCAGATCTCATGAGAACTCACTCACTCTCACGAGAACAGCGTGGGGGAAATCACCCTCATGATTCCATTATTTCCACCTGGTTCCTCCCACAACACACAGGAATTATGGAAACTACAATTTAAGATGAGATTTGGGTGGGAAAACAGCCAATCCATATTATGCCCATAAAACATCTTGTACAAAATGGGACACAGTGACGAATTGCTAATAATGATTAGCACTTCTCAGCACGTTGAAGTAGAGTAAGGAGGTTACACTCCAGATGCTTTTTTAAGCTGTTGTAGACATCTGAGCCCAGTGCCTAAAATACATTTCAAAGCAGTGCTATTAAAGACTTGATTTTAAGCATAGCAAGTAGACCGCAAATGGATTAAATACACTTGGAATACAAATGCACAGAATTATAGTTGTGTCAAAGCAAAGAGAGCTATTCTTTTTTTTTTTTTTTTTTTTTTTTTACAAAAATGATAGGGATCCTTCTGCTTCCTAACCAAGAGTATTTTCTAACCAAGAGTAGCTATCTTAGTTGGTACCATCAAATTTCTCCAACTTTGCAAGTTTATTTTTTATGGTTTTCTTTTACGAAAAATTATGCTGACCTTAAAAACTTAGGCATTGTACAGTTAAAGATGACATATAAATCAGTTAGTAGGAAACATTTGTCATTTAATTCTTCAGGGCTACAACAGACCAAAAGCTTATATTGCTGCCCAAGGCCCACTGAAATCCACAGCTGAAGATTTCTGGAGAATGATATGGGAACATAATGTGGAAGTTATTGTCATGATAACAAACCTCGTGGAGAAAGGAAGGGTATGTAGATAATCTGTTATGTCACCCCCAAAAAAGTAATTAGAGGTACTTTAAATTAGTTTTAATAGAGTCAGCATTAGGAAGGAGCCAAAGTTTTGAGAGTTATTTGGGATTCTTTTTTAGTAAATATGACAGCTAAAGGGAAACTGTTAATACTGTTAGTCAAAAAGTTTCATTATGAATCATGCTATCTGCCTTTTAAACGCATTCTTCATACTGTGGGAGAAGTAAATGGGACTCATTGAAAAGCAATGTAGAGTGAAATCGATTTTAATTCACAGGACATGGATTTTAGTCTTGGCTCTGTAACCTGAATCTTCTGACTCACTTGCCTTATCTGAAAGGGGAAATTTTAGGGTACCTCATCTCAGTCTCGTTCAGCTCTCAGATTCTATCCCTAGCCTCCTCCACAACTAATTTCAGTCACTTATAAAGAAAATAAAACATTTAGAAGAGTGAAGGAGTCCATTCCTGTCACCATCTCAGACCTTTACTGATTTCAGGGAATGACTTTTACATGGAGCATTTGAAATACAGAAGTAACATCTACATTTTCTTTTGCAGAGAAAATGTGATCAGTACTGGCCTGCCGATGGGAGTGAGGAGTACGGGAACTTTCTGGTCACTCAGAAGAGTGTGCAAGTGCTTGCCTATTATACTGTGAGGAATTTTACTCTAAGAAACACAAAAATAAAAAAGGTGAGTCAACAAAATGATGGGCATAATCAAGTGAACAATGCATTTGGTCATTTTTTAAGTGAATAAGCGATAGAACCAAGAAAGGGTAAAAAGCATATAACTAAAGGCATTAAAAATTCTTGTAACCAGGCCAGGTGCATGGCTTATGCCTGTAATCCCAGGACATTGGGAGGCCAAGGTGGGTGAATTACTTGAGGTCAGGAGGTCGAGACTAGCCTGGCCAACATGGTGAAACCCCATATCTACTAAAAATGCAAAAATTTGCTGAGTGTGGTGGTGCACACTTGGGAGGCTGAAGCACAGGAATCACATGTACCCAGGAGGCAGAGGTTGCAGTGAGCTAAGATCATGCCACTGCACTCCAGCCTGGGCAACAGAGTGAGACTCTGTCAAAAAAAAAAGAAAAGAAAAAAAAAAAGAATTCTTATCACAGCTGCCGTCAGTCCTAAAGGTTTCTTTCAGGTCTCTAGATGCCTGTTGTGGCTTTGGAGCCAGACTGGTTTTGTTGCTGATGTTTAAAGTGAATGTGATACATGAACAGAAATTCCTACCTTGTGTGGCAACTGCATAGGATGGCCCTGACACAATCCCAATATTCAACTAAAAAGAGTGGAGAGTGAAACAAGAAAAAGAAAGGAAACACGAAGAATAACGTATTACTCAGGTTCTTCAAAGAAACAGAACCAACAGAATAGAGAGATAGAGAGGTTTACATTTTTAAGAATTGACTCACATGATCATGGGGATTAGCAAATCTTAAACCTGTAGGACAGGCTGGCAGCCTAGAAATTCTGGTAGGATCTTTACGTTGCACTGTTGAGAAGAATTCTTTATTCTTCAGGTAACCTATCCTATCAGTCTTTGTTCTTACAGCCTTCAAGTGGTTGAATGGAGCTCACCCACATTATGGACTATGATTTGCTTTACTCAAAGTCTGCTGACTTACATGTTAATCACATCTAAACAAAATACCTTTACAGCAACATTTTGTGTGATTAGTGTTGACCAAACAATGGGCCACCATAGTATAGCCAAGTGGACACAAAATTAACCATCACAAATGACACTCTACTTTCTTTCATTCATTATGGACCCTCAACATCAAATCAAGCTATGATTCCTGACTTGCTGTTGAAGAACCGTGTGTGTGTGTGTGTGTGTGTGTGTGTGTGTGTGTGTGTGTGTGTGTGTGTGTTTGACTGTTATTAACTGTCTGAACTTTTCCAGGGCTCCCAGAAAGGAAGACCCAGTGGACGTGTGGTCACACAGTATCACTACACGCAGTGGCCTGACATGGGAGTACCAGAGTACTCCCTGCCAGTGCTGACCTTTGTGAGAAAGGCAGCCTATGCCAAGCGCCATGCAGTGGGGCCTGTTGTCGTCCACTGCAGGTGAGTCTCAGAGATGTGCCTCTAAACCCATAGAATTGCTTATACTTGCAAAAAGGAAATCAATGGAACAAAGCTTTTGCCCAAATGGGAATGATTTCTTGAAATGAGGGTGATGAAATTATATGTTCATTTTCATAAGTATTGATCACTAGGAAATGAACATGCCAGACTCAGAATTGGATTGCTGAATATTTCTAAGCACCACATATTTTTTGATGTTGATTATTTTATTTGATTGTTCAACTGCATTTCAGCTTATTAACTATTTGAGGCAGGTGGAACAATGTTTTTGTTGTTAAACAAATATTTACCTCAACATATAATACCATGGGATAAAAATGCTTGAGCTACAACCCCTGTCCCTAGGAGTTAAAATTCTGTTTTAGAATTATTATGCCAGGCTTGTATCACAGAAGCCAAAGCACACAGATTGTGAGAAATTTGGCAAAATATATTTAAGTTGTTTTTAAACATTTTGGGACCAGAATCCCTTTTTCATTTTCTTGAGTTTTAATACATTACATTGAATGTATTGTCAATTCATTGTTGCCAAGATTTTTTAATTTCCAAGACTAGGTTGATAAATAGAAATAATGATGTTTCAATGAAAGAGGAAAAATGTTGAAAATCCTTATTTAATGTTTTCAGTTAAAATAATAATAGCAGTTAATATTTATTGAGTGCTGACTGTGTGCCAAGCCTTAGATCACAAAAATCAAATTTGTTTCTATGTGAAGTATTGTTATCAAAGCAGTGTGTTTTTAGAGAATCAAGTGTTTGCCTTTGATATATAGCTTATCTAACACATTCTAATTACCATCTCAGGAGTTAAATTTGAGAGACCCATCTTGAGGCTTTTTAATCTGTTAGCCTGATTATAAACTGAGGAAAACAGGAAGATGCAAGAAAAATAGTGCTGAAGGTCAGGGATTGTTTCCTAGCAAACGGAGAAGGACCAGGCTATTGTGCAGAGCAGGTGCTAATTTTCCACTCTAGCACTTCCTACTTGTCGGAACATTTGAAAAGAATCCCTGTCCGTGAATTCTGTCCCTCTGCTAGAGGCTTTGAAGAAGTCGATAGATAATGGCCCTTTAGAAATAACTGAAGTCATGCTTTATTCCTCACAATCTCACTGAAATGATATTTTCAGCAGAAAGCTTTATCAAATTCTTTTTCCCATTAACGCAGAAATCTTTACAAACATGTCTACCTGGAAACATAGACCTAGGGACTTTTTCTTTTCAGAATTTGGTGAAGTTAAAGCTTTCACTTTTGTCAGATTAAATGTCTATTTGCCACACTCTGATACATAATATTTTCATTGTACAATATACAATGAATAATAAATATGGTTTTTGAAAGTTTTAAAATCTCCAACAGATATAGTGAGGTTGTTTTGCAATTAGACACATGACAAAACATTAGAAAGGGTACTTCTAAATTTGTTGTGTAAAGCATTACGCTTAATTACTAAACTGTTTACAATATTGAATTGCCAAATGTATTGTGTGGCTCACTCGCTTGAAGAAGGAAGTTATTTTAATCAACATGACAACCAGTAGTGATCTATTTTTCAAATTTATTTTATGCTTAACATTGAAATATTTATTTCTTGGTCTTCTCTTCAGTGCTGGAGTTGGAAGAACAGGCACATATATTGTGCTAGACAGTATGTTGCAGCAGATTCAACACGAAGGAACTGTCAACATATTTGGCTTCTTAAAACACATCCGTTCACAAAGAAATTATTTGGTACAAACTGAGGTATGATTTTTAAAAAGATGATTTTATTCATCTAAGGTATGGAAATGTCACTAAAATGTAGGTGTATTCATCTCCTAGGACTGCAAAACAAAGTAATACAAACTGGGTGGGTTAGAACAACAGAAGTTTATTGTCTCATAGTTCTGATGTCTGTAGGCCCATGCCCTTCCAGAAGCCTCTAGAAGATTCTTCCTTGCCTCTTTCATCTCCTGGTAGCCCCATGCATTGCGTGGCTTGTGGCAGCACAATTCCAGTCTCAGTCTTCACTTGGCTGTTTCCCTCTGTGTCTGTGTCTGTATCCAAATTTTCCTCCTCTTATAAGCATACCAGTTATCCTCCTCCTCCAGTTGATCTCATCTTAACTGATTACATCTGTAACAAACTTTTATGCAAATAAAATCACACTCTGAGTTATCAGGCGGTTAGAGCTTTAATATATCTTTGTGGGGGGACACCATTCAACCCATGACACCAGTAACTGCAGCTATGTCATGAATGAGCCAGATAAATTTTATCTGTTTTGTGACCCCAAATAGGGAATATCCTTTAAAATGACACTGGTCACAGAGAAGATACAGCAAAAGTCTAAGTAGAGTGGTCCACACACATCCTTGCTAGCAAAAATCTCAAGTTCTTCATATACATAGTGGATGAATCAATTCATTTTTTAAAAAAATATGAATTATGCTTAAATTATATCCATTTTAAGCCCATATAGTTTACCCGTAAGTGACAGAACAGTGTCAGCAAATCTGCATTTTATCTTCACTGTTTCTAAATAAAAATGAACTTAAATGGAAACCTATGAATGGCAGCTTGAAAGCAATCAGAAACACATGGCTGAGTGGGCTTCAAAACGAAACCACACCAAACATCCTTCCATCCATTATCCTAAGCAAACTTACACAGGAACAGAAAACCAAATACCACATGTTCTCACTTATAAGTGGGAGCTAAATGATGAGAACACATGGAGACATAGAGGGGAACAACACACACTGGGGCCTTTCAGAGGGTGGAGGATGGCAGGAGGGAGAGAATCAGGAAAAATAACTAATGGACTAATGGGTATGAGCCTTAATACCTGGGTGATGAAATAGTCTATACAACAAACCCCCATGACACAAGTTGACCTGTGTAACAAACCTGCACATGTACCCCTGAACTTAAAATAAACATTAAAAAATAACATTCTGGTCATATAAGACCAAGAAAGAGTCCCGTATGTGAAATATCAGAGAACTATTAACTATATATAAAATTGAGTTAAATTGTATATGACAAGCGAAAAGGAGAGTTGGCGTTGCCAGAAGGGGTAGGCCCACCAGAAGTGTAGAAGTCAAGAAAGCCCTCTCATGAAGTATAGAGGTGTCAAGTTTGAAGGATAGGCAGAGAGGACATTCCTTTGCCTTGCCAACTCTTCCTGCCTCCTAACCTATTGTGTATTGCCAACAATACATAATAAATGAAGAGGTAAGGAATGAGAAGAGGTTCTTTCTTCTGTGACCACTTCCTTTCCTCTGTCTGACTTCCTTCCAGGTTTTGTAAGCAATCTTGTGTGGGTCTTCCCCCATTCTGTAAAACTCTCCTTGTCTGTCAATGGAAGGTACTATGTTTGTAGGTAGATACATATGAGGAAAACTTGAACTAATGTTGCTTATTGTCATTGTTTTGCCAGGAGCAATATGTCTTCATTCATGATACACTGGTTGAGGCCATACTTAGTAAAGAAACTGAGGTGCTGGACAGTCATATTCATGCCTATGTTAATGCACTCCTCATTCCTGGACCAGCAGGCAAAACAAAGCTAGAGAAACAATTCCAGGTGAGTCCTCTTGGAAGCCTCTTGGATGTCACTACAGAACTGAATGTCCCTGCATCTTCTCATTTGAGTTGACAGGGTCACGTTGAGTGGGCAGTATGGGTACAATGACTTTGTATTTGAGCCATCGTTGTTCCTTACTGTGGGCTACAGTGCCACATGGTAAATTTCAAGGAGAAACATAATTCTGAGCAGCAAGAGGAAAAGTTCTCAGAAACCTTAAACTAACTTTTATAAATGCAAACTTGGTCGAGAAAAGAAGGGCACAGAGCATAACAGAATGAACAGAAAGAACTTGTAAAACATACTATATAAGTGCTCTTTTTACTTTGAAAAAAAAAAACAGACCACTTAAACATGAGTGCGGTGGCTCAGGCTGTTCCTGATACTCTTTGGAAAAAATCTGTGTCTCACTTGAAACCCCTGGACCAAAGTAGTACACACTGGAATAATAGCTTCTTCAACCCCAGTTTCTCCCCCTCACCCTGTCTCAAGGCCATAAGCCAGAGACAAGAGCATGTTTTGTCCATATTGTACTTCCCACAATACCAGCTCTCTGACTTTCAGAAATCAGTAGGCAAAGAATTCAGAAAGCAGGTGTTACCGGACCTGCCAGCTGAGACCAAAGCATGTGCAGAATCGTAGCTTTCCACAGGAATGGGGGCTATATTATTTCACTCCACATTGTTCCTGTGCTATCTGCTTGCTTCTCAGAGTTCCTGGAGAAATAGGGCCAAATTTTGAAGAATGAATATCTGGGAAGAATTTGGAAGACCTTAGAAAAACCCAGGAGAGTTAACAAATGTTGAGATTTCACTTATTTCTCCTGCTTTGCTCCCCAGTCTACAGCATAGGATGTTAGCCACCATGAATTCCTTTGGGCCATTTGCCTTTTAAATTACTGCACGGTGTGCCTTTGGAGGTGTAAGAGAAAGATTGGGATCAATACTGAGTTTAGAACCTGTTGTCAGAAAGTCATACATGTTTTACTCATCCAAGCTTATCTCAGTCATAAAGGAATGCCTTAGGGGGGAAAAGAGTATGCAGTTGGTTTTCAGATAATAAAGAAATGTTAAAATGTAATTAAGTTGTAAAGATATCTTTTCCCTAAATAAATTACACACACACACACACACACACACACACACAATATTACCCATTTCAAAAAAACTCTCATTTAAATATGATTTGCCCCTGTGTAGTTGCATAAAAACATTGATATGGTAAGCTAAATAATCCAGGATCAAAATGAAAATATTAACTATAAGGTCAGAATTCAATTGAAAAGAGAGATATTTTACTCTCTTTCCTGTTAACATCATAAATAGGGAAATGTATTTGTGTGTATGTGTGTGTACCATCCCATAAAAAGATATCTATTCGAGTTTGTCTGTAGAAAATTTCCTTGAAATAAGTTGAATATCTGTGTATTCAGCAAGTACTTATCAGACACCTGCCAGATGCCAGGCTTTTGTGTTATTAGGGCGCAAACAAGAATTTGTAAAATAAATAAATAAAGCACACCCAGCTCCTAGTCTTATGGTGCCTGCAGTCTATTAGAAGATACAGGTAAGAAAACACAAACAGGCCAGGTGCAGTGGGTCACACCTGTAATTCCTCTGTTTTGGGGGACCATGGTCAAGAATTTGAGACCAGCTTGGGCAACAGAGCAAGACCCTGTCTCTATAAAAAAATTAGCTGGGTGGGTGGCATGAGCCTGTAGTCCTAGCTACTTCAGAGGCTGAGGTGAGAGAATTGCCTGAGCTCAGAAGTTCAAGATTACAGTGAGCTATGATTGTGCCACTGCACTCCAGTCTGGGAGATAGAGTGAGACCTTGTCTCTAAAAAAATAAAAAAGAAAGAAAGAAACAGATAAACAAAATAGTGTGAAAAATGCCATTATAGAGGTAAAACAGGATGCTGTAGGAGTACAGGTAAGGATGCAACTTACCAGAGGAGAATTGCGTAAGATATATTTAAGAGTTGAACACAGGATTTGGTGATTCATTGGACATTGCAGAGAGAGAGGAGAGAAAAGACACAAGCATAACTACTCAGATTCTGTTTGGGCACTGGGAAAGTAGTGATGTCATTCACCATGATCGAGAATTCAGGAAGAGGAGGTGGTACATGCTTGAGAGGTGTGGTGAGGGAGAAGACGTGAGATATTTCCAAATCTACCTTATTTTTAGGTTACTGGGAGATGTCCCAATAAACATGTATATTTGGCAGTTGGATACTGGTTCTGAAGCATAAGAGAGGTCTGGCCTGAAGAAATGGATTTGGGAGTGATCAGCGTAGAGATGGTTCCTTGAAGCCTCGGAATTGGATAAAATAGCCAATTAAAAATGAAATGTCTAAGAAAGGTTAGAAAGGATTACTTAAGAAAACATTTTAATTAACCTATGAATGGCCAGCCCACAAAGGAAAGGGGGGAAAGTGGCATCAGAAGGTAGGAGAAAATTCGGGACAGCGGAATATACTAGGATCCAAAGTAAATAATGTTTCTTGAAAGAGGAAGTGAACAGAGATGGCAAGTGCTAATGACAAATCAAGTATGTTGGGAATGGAGGAGGCCGTTGGATTTAGACAGAAGTCATTGATGACCTTTGTCTAAGAGCTATTTGAAAAGTATAGCATTGACACCAGATTACAGGGAGTTAAGGAGTAAATGGATTTGAGGAATTAAAGACAATTATATAACTCTTAAAAATTGTTTACTCTGGATAGAATGATTAAGATAACTATAAGAAAACTTTGAGTTAGTAAGATTTGGGGGTTGTTTATTTGGGGTTTCTTTGCTTATGTTTTAATATGAGACATGAGAGCTTCTTTAAAAACTAATGGGAAGGGAGATAATTGGAGAGTACAGAGACCCTGGGTGGTACAAAGAGGCGGGATTCAGGACACAGGTAAAGGAATTAGTGTTCAAAATCAGTAAAACCTATGTGCATGTTTACAGTAGTACACATATAGGCTCTAAGGCTGGAGGCTGAGGAAGTACTCTACGGTTTCTATTATCTGTGAAGAGAAGGTGGGTGTGTGTGAGTGTGTGTGTGTGGTGTGTTGCTACATATATTCCTTTTTTTTTTTTTTTCTCTGAGACAGGGTCTCACTCTGTCACCCAGGCTGGAGTGCAGAGGCACAATCTCGGCTCACTGCAACCTTCCTCTCCCTGGCTTAACTGATCCTCCTACCTCAGCCTCCCGAGTGGCTAGGACTATAGTAAGTGTACACAACCACGCCTGGTTAATTTTTTAAATGTTTTTTGTAGAGATGGGGTTTCGCCATGTTGCCCAGATGGTTTCGAACTCCTGAGCTCAATCGATCTGCCTGCTGTGGCCTCACAAAGTGCTGGAATTATAGCCATGAGCCACTGCACCTGGCCCATTGCACACATACTCTAAAATAAAACTGTTAATAGATGCAGAGGGAAAAGGGAGATAATTTTAAGGAATCTATATCATATCAGTCATTTTCTCAGAGTATAATACAGTAAAAATTGGAAATTGACAGTGAAAGGTTTCCATAAAAATTTTGATATTTGGGCATTAAAAATACCCTTTTAAATAATATACATATTTAAGAGGAAATTATAAAATCTTTAGAATTAAAGGTCAAAAGAAGCACTACATAACATTTTTAAAGTTTTTAAAATTAAATAGAAAATTAAAATGATTAAATAAAGATTTAACAAAACCTAATGCAGGTTCTATCAAAAGACTATTAAAATAGACAAACCTGTGTCCAGATTGATGAAGGGAGGAAAGAATGTGAGTAAATAATATTGAGATTAAAAAAAGAGATATAATTTAGAAACATTTTTAAACACAAAAGCATACTTTGAATATATTTGTGACAATACATTTGAAAACCTATATGAAATGAATAATTTATTGTATGTTCTAAAATAACTAAAAGCATATCATTGGATTGTTTGTAACACAAAGAAAGGTTAAATGCTTGAGGTGATGGATGCCCCATTTACCCTCCTGTGATTATTATGCATTGTATGCCTGCATCAGATAGCTCATGTTTTCCATAAATATTACACCTTTTATGTACCCAAAGAAATGAAAACTAAAAAGAATTTTTAAAGGAAAAATATAATGAAAATACACTAAAAATATATAGAAAATTTAACTAGGCCAATAGCCATTAAGGAAATCAAATCAGCTGCCTAAAATCCCACCTTCAAAATATAACCAGGCCCAAAATAATTTAATGTCACATTTTACCAATTTTTAAGGCACAGAAAATTCCAAATGTTAGCATAAAAAATCCAGGTGGAAAACTAACCCAGCTATTTTATTGGACAAATATAACTTTGATACCAAAACTGAACAAAGACAGAATAAGACACTTATAGGCCAGTATCAATAATCTTATTTAAAATATCAGCAACTCAAATCCAGCAGTGTATTTCTTTAATATCATGAGCAAGTAGAGTTTATAGGGTTTATTCCAAAAATGAAATGATGGTTTAACACTGGAAAATATGAATAGATTTACATAAAGAAACATTATGACCCTGTCAATTAATACAGGAAAAGTAGTCAATCAAATTCTATATTGTTCATTTAAAAAAAGAACTCTTAGTAAACCAGAAATAGAAGAAAGCTTTCTTAGCCTTCTAGAAAGTATCTGTCATAAAACTACAATAAACATCATACATAAAAATTAAAATTGGAAATGCTCATAGTAGATTCCAGAAAAGATAAGGAATGTCAATTATTGGCCCTGCTATTCAACATTATTCTGGAAATAGAATTAAACTAGATAGATGTATAAAGGTAGAAAAGGATTTGCAGATAGATAATATAACTACCTGCAAAGAATATCAAGAGAAGCAAAAGAGAAAATAATTTTCTTTAGTTAGAGTTTAATAAACATACATAAAAATCAATAGCATTGTTATTTGTTAGCTTTGAGTGATTAGAAAATGTTTTAGAACAAAAAAGAACCCAATCATTAACAAAAACAATAACAAAACAGTAGCAAAAACTTCATCATCTCAAAAAAGACACTTAACAAAATGTGCAGTAAATATAGAGAAATTTATAAAAGTGAATTGAAGAGCATAAAATTAGGCCCAAATAAAATATAATGTTGATACATGGAAATATTAAGATATTGCTTCTCCTTACATTGACTATAGAAGTCAATGCAGTATCAATCGAATTTATGGCAGGATTTTTCATGGAAAATGTAGAACAGATTTTAATTTAGCATGGAAAATTAAACAGCCAAAATATCTCACCTATACTGAAAAGGAAATAATAATAGAAGAATTCTGTTGTACTGTATATGGAAGACTTATGATGTGATATAATAGTATTGGAAAACGGAGGAATCTAGCAGAGGAATGATGCATTTGAGGAAATCTGTTATGTGGTAGAGTTAACATTACGTATCAGTGAAGAAACAGCAGATTAATCTATAAATAACATTGGGAAAATTTTCATGTCAAAAAAAGTAACATTGTATCTCTACCACTCCTCAAACACTAAAATGTATTCAAGATGGATTAACTACCTAAAGGTGAAAGCAAACCTTTATAACTATTGTAAGATCATTTTAGAAAAGAAAATATTGGGTTGGGCACAGTAGCTCACACCAGTAATCCCAATACTTTGGGAGGCCAAGGCAGGGGGATTGCTTGAGCCCAGGAGTTCGAGACCAGCCTGGGTAATATGGTGAAACCCCTTCTCTATAAAAAATACCAAAATTAGCCAGGTGTGGTGGTGCATGCCTGTAGTGCCAGCCACTCGGGAGGCTGAGGCAGGAGGAACTCATGAGCACAGGAGATTGAAGCTGCATGCACTCCAGCCTGGGTGACAGAGTGGACACCTGTCTCAAAAAAGAATTGAAGGGGAGGAGAGGGGAGGGAAAAGGAGAGGAGGGGAGGGGAGGAAAATGCACAGCAGGGCATATATTGGAAAGTATTTCTTAATAACTTCAGGATAGAGAAGGACTTCTTACGTAAAATGATAATTTGCAGAAAACTTAAATAAGAAAAATAAATTGGCTGTAAATCTCTGTGTGATTAAAGAAACTGAAGATGTTTCCAACTTTTTACACACTATAGATTTACATTCAAGACAGCAAGAACCCCCTACAAATTAATAAGTGGAAATGAAGTAAAAATATGAAAAGGCAATCATCAAAGAAGATATCTTAATGACTAATGAGCACCAAAATTCACAATTTCACAGAAATTAAGACGATGCAAATCAAAACCATGATATACTATTTTTCATTTACCCGACTGTCAAAAATAAAACACTGAATAACTGAATACTCCTAATGCTCTATGGAAACCGTCACACATGTGCACATTAAGAGACATACAGGAGATGCTCATATCTATAAAGCTATACAATTGCAAAACACTGCAAATACCCAAATATTCACTAGCTGAGGAGTAGATAAACAGAATGTAGATTATTCATGTAATGGAGTAGTAACAGAAGGAATAAATAAAATTGAATTATATACATATATATGTATATACACACACACGATGTAATTTACCTCCAAACGTCTGTGTGAGATTTAAATAGAGGAAATGGAGGTTGCACATCTATAGTGGAAGCCGTGAGGAAGATTATCTCAATGCTAAAAGAATTACTAGAGATTTCTTTGCTTCTTGTAACTCCCCTGGTGTAAAACACAGAAGCTCCAGGAAGTTCACTAAAACAAGGTTAAATTCAAGGAATTGTTGGAAAACATTTCATATATATTTTTAGTCAGTATCTTATCTTGATTGGTGTGTGTGTGTGTGTCTGTATGTATGTGTGTGTGTGTGTATTTGGGGGACTTAAATGAAATAACCTATATATTTTTTTACTTTCTTGCCCAGCTCCTGAGCCAGTCAAATATACAGCAGAGTGACTATTCTGCAGCCCTAAAGCAATGCAACAGGGAAAAGAATCGAACTTCTTCTATCATCCCTGGTAAGTTGTGTTGATCCTTGAAAAAACAACTTTTTTAAAATAATAAAAGCCTTGTAGGAAATTTGGCAATATTTGTATACCTTTGGAGCAAATGGAGCACATTCAAATATTTTTAATTTTGTCCAATATGTAACTGTTCCAAAGGACTCATAAATCCTTGAAGTCTTATCTAAATATGCAAAATGTATAGAAAAATTAGCTTACAGATCAGAGACACTTCAACTTGAAAAATGTAGCTATATTTTACATCTGGCATGGGGAAAAGATGGTACAGTGCTGTGAGCATGAGTTGTTTTGTTTTGTTTTGTTTTGTTTTGTTTTACAATGAATGTTCTGTGTTCCAGTGGAAAGATCAAGGGTTGGCATTTCATCCCTGAGTGGAGAAGGCACAGACTACATCAATGCCTCCTATATCATGGTAAGTCAGAGAAGTCACTGAGGAGACTGCCAGCTTGTGTTACAGGGATCAAAACCAGAATGGGCTGCCAGAAGCAAAGACTACAGGCATGGGCAAATGAGTGGTAAATTTAAGTTAAATCTGTTGACTGCAAGCCCACAGTCCACAGCAACAGTTGTAATAATGGCATGCTTTTATGTGTGCTGGGACTGAAGAAACCTCAAGCAAGACCAATTAGCAGATGCAGGAACACAAACTCACCATTTAGGGCTGATGAGTAGATATAAAACTTATACCTGCTTATCTAAAAGGCTTTATTTCCTTCACTAAGGCAGAACCCCTGAGCAAACCCGGGATTCACTGGCTTCAGCAAAGCCTAACCTCACTGACATCACTACTTCAGGTTTGCAGCATGATTTTTAGCCTGCAAACTGGGCTCATTTTAGGACCTGGATTTCTAAAGATACAATGCTTTTCTTCTGCATTTACATCTTTTGTGTGAGGGATGAGTGTTTTAGTAGCTGTTGTGTGACCTTCATTAACATTTAAGGTCAATCAATCACGGAGCTTGGCTTCTGATGAAAACCTAATTCTTATTCCAAAACCTCTGTTCTATTTATCCAGCAAAGAAAATATTAAGGAATATCTATGCAGGAAACACAGGGATGTGTGGTAGTGGCATCTAAATACATTCACATTTCAAATGAGCCACTGGGTGATAGGAATGGGATCTGAAAGCAGAAGGGGCTAGAAGAGCCAGGACTTTAGTAACAGTATAAATATCACAGTTAATACAATAGCTCTAGCTTCTAGGTATCTGTAGCAAAATATGCAAGATGTCTCCCTGGTTCCTCTCTTGTAGAGGCAACCAAGGTGTCTGGACACCAAAGTGGGAAATGTAAACTCTCCTGTAGATTTCCCACTCTCTGTGGAGTAAGAGACAGTATCCACAAAGCAGTTTGGTAAGTCTACAGCTAGAGGTGTGTTTTTAATGAAACTGTTCAAGTTTCTCTATCAGCTTAGCTGATAGCTACCATTCTCAGTGACCACCAGATGCCCAGATGAAAGAGCACCAATAAGGGATTCACCTGCATGGGTTCCATTGAGCAGTCTCACCTAAAGTCTTCAATGAAAAACCACAGTGTGAAAATTCAGAGTTTTTAGTATTTATGGACCCTGAAGGGTTCATGGCACTGGAGGCCACATGCATAGAGCTTAGGCAGAGCAAGCAGGGAAAGAGAGAAAAGGACCCATGGACCAATGCCCCCACTGAGTCCAGGGCATTATCCAAGTAGGTTTTCCATGGGGAGTTTTACTTGATGAGTTTAAAGCAAGCAGGCACAAGTCCCAGGAGGTTATGTAGTGACTGAGAGGTATTTACTATGGCATATCTGCAAAGTCCATGTAGGTGTGAGGGTCAGCGAGGCCAGCCAAGCAGGCTGTTCTGTAGTGAAATGGTCACTATGGAGCAGTTTTGTAAGTTAGACAACTGGATCGATCACTTTAAGGAACTGGTGGATGGGACGATGTAGAACTGGAAACTGTATCAAGGTGACTGAACCCTGCTTCTGGCATGACAAAGTCCAACTTATATTTAAAAGGAATGCCAAGGCAACATAAAAATCATAAACATTCACTACAAGATGATAGGTAACCTTGAATACTACATCTGACTTCTTAAGGCAAACTTGGGCACAATGCTTAATTTCTAAAGCCTCAGTTTAATCATCTGTAAAATGGGGGTCACAGTTCCTATCTCACAGTATTGCTGTGAGGAACAAACGATTTAAGAGAAAAAAAAACACATAGTGTCACACCTAACATACAAAGTGCCCAGTAAGCATTGGCTATAATAATCATATTACTACATATAGACACAATCTGCAATTCAAAAGACTATTTTGACTTAAGGTCCATTGATGTATAAATGCTTATCTGAATGTTTAAAGGCATACGCCAGTGCTGTTTTTGTCTTCTCTTTGGTTTTGTAGGGCTATTACCAGAGCAATGAATTCATCATTACCCAGCACCCTCTCCTTCATACCATCAAGGATTTCTGGAGGATGATATGGGACCATAATGCCCAACTGGTGGTTATGATTCCTGATGGCCAAAACATGGTAAGTCCCTTAGACCACTTTTGGGACTTCCTTTACAGAGGAATATCAGGTTACAAACAGCAAAAAGTCCAGCATACAAACAAGCAAAGTAATTTTGTTTTCAACTAATAAACTAATGTCATTGAAGGCATACTCTTCTGCTGTTGGGCTTGGTTTCATTATACAATCTCCTAGGTCAAAGTGATGAATAAAAGTTTTAAATGAAAGTAGATATAAATGAACTTAAATGTATGTGTTTTGTGACATTGCTTAAGAAAATTAGAATCACAGCCATGAAAGAAATCAGTCTATATGCTTCTATTTACATTTTTAAAATAAAATGTGTTAGAATATTTAGAGATTCCCTGAGTTTAAGGAGGTCTCTAATTTTTTCTTTAAAAAAAAGACCTAGTTAGAATTAAGTGATTTCCTAGTATAGGAAGGACTTTTTTAGTATAAGAAAAGCAGCGATATCCCATCCCCCTCTTTATATATGTTTGGAGAACCCAACAAGTAAAATAAATATTTCATTTAGGCTTTACATGTTTACTTAGCTTTGATATTCAGTTCTTATCTATAAAGTTATTGTGTGACCATTACACATGAGGCTGGAAATTTCTGAGCTCTTAAAATCACTTGAATCTTCTGTACTCAGTTGTCAATTACAGAAGCAATAAGCTTATCATTGTTGATAAGCTAAGAGCATAAAATAATAAAGCAATAGTTTGGGTTCCTAAGTGTGATATTTTATTCAGCACATCAATCTAGTTGAAGGCACGAGAAAGATGTTAAGAGTAAATATTCAGATTCAAAGAAAAATTGGAGTTGAAATTTCTGTGCCAACCAATTAACTTTATTTCACAATCTGACTTATTGGTCATTTTATTAAAATCTAGACTCTTCTTTCATTTGCAATTCTGCAGGCAGAAGATGAATTTGTTTACTGGCCAAATAAAGATGAGCCTATAAATTGTGAGAGCTTTAAGGTCACTCTTATGGCTGAAGAACACAAATGTCTATCTAATGAGGAAAAACTTATAATTCAGGACTTTATCTTAGAAGCTACACAGGTAAGGATATAAGTTAAATGACAAACTTTTTATCTTAAACACATGTTAAACATATTCTGACCTAAGGATCTGTCCTAGAAATGAAAAGCATGATTCTGATTTTTTCCCCATTGAGACAAATACACAAATAATCAAATTACCTTGTCACTTTCATTTTCAAAATGATATAGAATCATTAAACAATTAGTCATCACTACGTCATTCCTGAATTTTACACACACAGGAAATCAAAGCTCATTTACTCCAGATTAGTGGTTGACAGAACTTAGGTGAAAAATAAACACAGTAAAAGAATAAATTTATTAATTTTAATTCTCATGTTTTAATGTAATCCCTTACCTTGTAAGTAAAATGGGAAAAATACTACCTACCTAAACTCTCCTAAGTAAAATGGGAAAAATACTACCTACCGAAACTTACTATTCTCTACCAATGTAGAAAGTTGATGAGTGATAGTGATGTAGTAAGTTGATAAATGAAGTGCTTTGAAAACACACAGGACAATAAACTAAGAATATTTTACTAAAGTCTTGGTTATCTATTACACAAGATACTGTTGTTATCTACAAGATAATACATTGTTTTACTAAACTTAATTATATGCAAATATCTATTATTGAATTATTTGTCAATGATTATTTACATAGAACTATAGTAAAATACTAAAAGATACTAACAATGATGTCTAAGGAATGTGAGATTCAGAGTACCTTCTCAATATGACAAAGATTAAATCATGTTCCAAATAATTTGAATGTTTCACTTTTCTCTAGTTCTGAAAACTAGTACATATATGGTATACAAGAAGATTCTCTATCCTCTAGAATATTTAAATGACCAATACATATAAACTTGATAATACAAATAACTAATAGTGTAAACAGCATAGCAGTGGAATAGTATCCTATCTCATTAAAACAAAAAAGACTTAGGTCTTTATTTGTAAAATGAAGGGCAGAAACTAGAAGGCTCGTAAGGTCCCTGAGAGCTCTTAATGTTCCATGCTAATTTCTATCTCTGATTACTCCCTGATCACTTTAGTAGCATCCATTTAGATCTGCCATCTCTCATGCCTTCTCATTATTCCTAGTTAGTAAGAAAGCCTATTACAAGAGTAATAATCATTATATACCTATTATCTTGTCACACCCATTATCCTGATCACTGATCATGTTTAATATCTTGCTCAGCACTGGGAAATTAGCACTGTTTTTCTCCTAGTATTATTCAGAAAATAAACTAGATAATACAGGTTCCTGATTGATCCTAATTCAGTATGTCTCATCTATGTAAATCAGCTATTATGGACAACTTGATAATCCAGGAGCCCAACCCAGGGATAAACAGTATTTCTATAACAAAGATCAAAAAAGAAGGAAAGACTAAACTGGACAGTTTCATTAACTTCAGACATTTTTAGGCACTTTAACCAAATATCACATTTGAGGTTAGTAGACAAGTGAAGGTCTATGCTACTGAGCTCAAAAGCTAGGGGCCTTTTATTTATGTATTTGTTATGAGGACTATTTTTAAGAATTTATTAAATATTGAATATATTTAAGATGTTTATATTATATGTGCAAGGTTTGACAATTATGTTAAATTACTTTTACCCACCATTGACTTTAAGAAATAGAACATGGCCTTGACCATCAAGTCTTTCATTTGCTCCCTATCCCCTTCATCCTCTCCTCACTTCAGAAGTAGCCTCTTCCTGAATTAGTGTTTATTGTTCTCTTGACTTATTTTATCAGTTAACCCTTGTCTTTGTTTTCCTTCACACGCGTGCTGCTTACTTTTAAATATCTGTGAACTTTATATAAATTATGTGTATTATGCTACTCAGATTTATCTATGTATTTGGGTATAGTTCAAATTCATTTACTGCTGCTGCTTAGCATTCCAGATAATACATATCCTTTTTTCTATTTTACATGCAAATTATTACTTGTTTGTTGTGTTTTGTCTTGGTTTGATGTTGCTATTACGAACAGTGCTGATATGAATATTTTTAGTCACATGCAAAATTTCCTCTTGGGGATATCCTGGGAATTCCCCTGCTGTGTTATTGTGTTGGATCATCTTCAACTTTCTTTAACTTTACTAAATGAATTCAATTGTTTTCCAAAGTCATCCTACAAAGGTATCCTCTCATCAGGAATGTATGAGTGCACTACATCCTCATCAGTGCTTGTGCTGGGAATGAAACGGCATCTCTTGTTGGTTTTAATTTGCATTTCTCTTGTTGAAAATGAAGTTTTCAACATAACTTTACATTTTTACATAATTATTTACATAAATAATATTTTTACATACAATATGTTTTATACATATTATTTTTACATAAACATATTTTTATATAAATTAATTGACCATTCAGATTTTATCTTTTGTACTGTGTCTGTTCATGATTTTTGCCCATTTTTCTGTTAGGTTATTTATCATTTACTGATTTATCAGAGGTCTCGTATTGTGGATACTAATCCTTTGTCAGCTGCATATATTGCAAATACTTTCTCCCAGTTTGGGATTTGAATTTTTTACTTTCTTTGTGATTCTTTTTTTTTTTTTTGTCTTTTTTTTTGTGAAAGAAAAGTTTTGAAGTTTAATCTATATGAATGTATTGATCTTTTTATTCCTGGCCTTTAAAAGGAAACCATCATTTAGTATCTTAAAAAAATACCTTTTACCCTGAAATCATGAAGATGCTCTCTTACACTGTTTTCCAAACGTACCACCTGAAATTGACTTTTTGTATTATATTTTGTGAGACAAGGGTTCGGTTTCATTATTTTCCATGTGATACCCATTGTCCCACCATTATTTATGAATTAGCAATATCAGTTCAGTCATTCATATAGTGTGTGTGTGTGTGTGTGTGTATATATATACATATATATATACATATATATATGTGTGCTTGTTCTAGGACATTTATTTTATTCCATTGGTCACTTTGTTCATCCCTCAGCCACAATGGCAGTGTTTTACTTCTTATAGCTTAGAGTAATTCTTGATATCTGATGAGTTAATTTCCTCTATTGTTTTTCTTATTTACCAGTATCTTGGCTATTTTGGCCCTTTGCACTTTTATGTAAAATTTAGGTTCTGCTACTTGTTTTTAAAAAAGGTATCATTTTTTTAAAAAAGTACACTTTTGGAAGCTGGAGGCGAGAAGTTTAAGGGATTTATCAAGTCACAGTCTTGTTGGTCACTTAAGTAAGAATCAGAATTGGGATCCGAGTTGAACCTAGATCTCTACCTCCTTGTCGGCGTTTTCTCCACTGTGTCATGCAATCTTTTACTTAAGCCTGAGGATTACTGATAAGTGAAGAAAGTGTATGCTATTTTCAAAACAGATTTTAACACCAATGATTTCCTTTTATAAATTTGAATTTAGCCGTGCAAATACATCTTTGATACATAGTTTCATGGTTTGTAAGCATTGGCATATTTCACCCACAGATAGAGTTTATTTTTAGAATAAAAAAAGAAATTATGTTTTTTGATTCTACTAGTAAATCTATGCATGTTAAATGTGGCATCACAACTGTTTCTTCCTTCTATGATGAAGAATGTGCTGCAACTACTGCTGCTCACTCATGCCTGCCATTGGGTTTTATTACCTTACTGTAATTCCTGATTTTCCTCAATGATTCCACTCCTGGTAAACTGTCACTAACTAACATTACTTTGTGTTTTCTTGTTATAGGATGATTATGTACTTGAAGTGAGGCACTTTCAGTGTCCTAAATGGCCAAATCCAGATAGCCCCATTAGTAAAACTTTTGAACTTATAAGTGTTATAAAAGAAGAAGCTGCCAATAGGGATGGGCCTATGATTGTTCATGATGAGTAAGTTCCATGTGTTAGATGGTTTCACACCTGCACATTTTCTGGGCATATGTATATTTCTGTTGTCTTCAGACAAACCTAATGCTTTGGACCCACTGTGATGATTCAGCCATGGTGGATTATCTGCATCTTATCAATAAAGTTAACACAGAACATTTTTTTTTTTTTTACTTCACTTGAAGTCCCTGTTGAAGACAGAGAATGGGGTCATGATCACAAATATCTTCTCTTGCATTTGATGCTGAGAACACTTTGTATACTAAGTCGGTGTTTTAGCAGTGAAATTTTCAGGAGCCAACCAGAGAGGCATTTTCAGTCATTGATTTCCTGGCATAGAAGTGAAATTGATATGATTTTTATTTTTCAGGAACAAGAAACCATCCAATAAATCTTCCTAGGATTCCATCATAGACAAATAAAAAATGCATATGCTGAACTTATGTTATAAATATATAAAATACAGTTTGTTATATATGTATTTATACATTATATTATATGTGTATTATACATGTCTTTATATGATACTCTCAGGTTTTTTTTATTATTGCCAACTCCTTTCATAGTATACAAATAATAAACCATAAGCAAATACTAAACTTCTGTAAAGTATTCCACTATTGATATCATGAACACTTGGCAATATTTCAGATTAAATCATAGTTCTTTGTGCAAAAAGCGAAGAGAGACAATTCATTAAAAGTTTCAGTGTTTTCACTGCAAAGTTGTCAAGGCTATATGCTTTGTGAGTTCTAAATGTGAGTGGTGCATCTCAATGGAGTCTTTGTTCCTTTTCTTTTTTTTTTTTACAAGGCATGGAGGAGTGACGGCAGGAACTTTCTGTGCTCTGACAACCCTTATGCACCAACTAGAAAAAGAAAATTCCGTGGATGTTTACCAGGTAGCCAAGATGATCAATCTGATGAGGCCAGGAGTCTTTGCTGACATTGTAAGTAACAAGGCAGTGAACGAAATTTTTCACTGATAGAGTACAACTAACTTCCTAGAGGCTGCTGAAATCTTATGTATCAAGAAAGATCTTATTAACTGATAACATTAGTATGTAGTTTTCAAGCTGAATTACAAGTCCACAATCCATAGAACAACAACATTTAAAATTTATACTTCAGAAAATTTATGGATAAAAACTTTTAAATCTCATGTTTGCCTTTGTGCACAATAGTAAACAATGCAAATAAGCTTAGGTGAATGTAGAAGTCATAGGCTCACCTTCAGCTCTTTGGTCTGTTTAAGGGCCTTATAAAGGGACCTTCTTCAAAGCTCCAGCCTAGACCAGTTGGCAGGAGGTCAAAGTTATCTTCATGCACATGCACTGCAGAGGAGCCCCTAATAAGTCTTATTCGGGGCCGCTGAGTTGTATCAAGCTTGTGCTGCATGAAACTCCTTTCTGGAGATGCACAGTTCGCGAAAGCATTTAATTATGCACTGCGTCACATGTAGGCCTCATGGTTTTCGGCTATGATGCTGCTCACTGGTTCAGGTTCTCTGTAGCTACCTCTCCCCAAACTGCCTGAGATGGCATCTGTAAGAGAAAAACTGTTTCATGCTTCTATGTGCCACTGCTCTGAGACCACAGCAGAGAAGGTACTTACCTTTGCTCATAGCAGGGCATAGGACCAGTTGGGCTGATAGAATGTGAAATTCTTCTTATTGGTGAACAGTGAAGGATTGCATTCTACATGGGTTCCTGGGCTAACAGTACAGTCATTCCTGAGATCTTTCCGTAAAGAGGCAGACCCAATGGATTTTCTAACAAGTAGAGAAAGAAGAAACTTGTTTCTGAGTGAGTTACAGATGTCCAGTGCCAAACGGTTTCGCCCACAAGTTAACAGAACCCTGTCTCATCACCTTCTGATTTCATGAATAAGAATTAAGTACTTATTGGCAAATGTATGTAGGTTAATTTTCTAGGTCAGTGAATGGTCTGCCGATTGCAACGTTAATTTAATCAGAAGAGACATCAGTATAGGTTGTGTGCATCTGCTGAGTATAACAGTGCCCTTAACACATTGCCCTTTCATGAACAGTGCTGAAGTGTGTCTAAAAATATTTCTTCTTTTTACAAATGTATGTCTTCACTGAGCTTCGCATTTATTACCTCCCATCTTCTGTTCTCTAGGAGCAGTATCAGTTTCTCTACAAAGTGATCCTCAGCCTTGTGAGCACAAGGCAGGAAGAGAATCCATCCACCTCTCTGGACAGTAATGGTGCAGCATTGCCTGATGGAAATATAGCTGAGAGCTTAGAGTCTTTAGTTTAACACAGAAAGGGGTGGGGGAACTCACATCTGAGCATTGTTTTCCTCTTCCTAAAATTAGGCAGGAAAATCAGTCTAGTTCTGTTATCTGTTGATTTCCCATCACCTGACAGTAACTTTCATGACATAGGATTCTGCCGCCAAATTTATATCATTAACAATGTGTGCCTTTTTGCAAGACTTGTAATTTACTTATTATGTTTGAACTAAAATGATTGAATTTTACAGTATTTCTAAGAATGGAATTGTGGTATTTTTTTCTGTATTGATTTTAACAGAAAATTTCAATTTATAGAGGTTAGGAATTCCAAACTACAGAAAATGTTTGTTTTTAGTGTCAAATTTTTAGCTGTATTTGTAGCAATTATCAGGTTTGCTAGAAATATAACTTTTAATACAGTAGCCTGTAAATAAAACACTCTTCCATATGATATTCAACATTTTACAACTGCAGTATTCACCTAAAGTAGAAATAATCTGTTACTTATTGTAAATACTGCCCTAGTGTCTCCATGGACCAAATTTATATTTATAATTGTAGATTTTTATATTTTACTACTGAGTCAAGTTTTCTAGTTCTGTGTAATTGTTTAGTTTAATGACGTAGTTCATTAGCTGGTCTTACTCTACCAGTTTTCTGACATTGTATTGTGTTACCTAAGTCATTAACTTTGTTTCAGCATGTAATTTTAACTTTTGTGGAAAATAGAAATACCTTCATTTTGAAAGAAGTTTTTATGAGAATAACACCTTACCAAACATTGTTCAAATGGTTTTTATCCAAGGAATTGCAAAAATAAATATAAATATTGCCATTAATTTGTGTTTGCTTGTGGAGCATTGTGCTGAAGCGTGTGTGGCAGAAAATTGTGGATGTGGGTCCCCCTATGATGATGGCACACACACACACAAAAAACAGCTAGTAGGATGGGACAGGATTTAGAGTGGTGGGTCCCAAACTGTGCATTGAGGTGCACAGGGAAGTACAAAACTTTCCATTTGTGAGGAAAACACAGCAACATGTGCAGACACTGCACAAACTTTTACTATTAAATTATTTGAACTTTACTACTTAATGAACAGAACAATTATGTATTTCTTTTGGCTTGGGGAGTGCTATGATCTGAATGTTTATGTCTCCCGACAATTTATCCCCTCACCCTCAAGGTGATAATATTAGGAAGTAGGACCTTTGGGAGGTGATTAGTTCATAAGGGCAGAGCTCTCATAAATGAGATTAGTGTCCTTATAAAAGAGGCCTGAGCGAGACCCCTCACCCCTTTCGATGTGTGAGATTATGATGAGAAGACAGCTGTCTATAAGAAAGCAAGCCTTCACCAGACATCGAATCTGCGGGCACCTTGATCTCGGAACTTAGCCTCCAGAAGTGTGAGAAATAAATCTATGTTTGTTTATAAGCCACCATATTTATGGTATTTTGTTACAGCAGTCTGAATGGACCAAGACACAGAATTCTGAAAATGTTACTGATGAATTAAGAGCATCATGTACCAAGAAATGTTGGGAACTTCCGATTTAGAAACTAGCTGGAAGTTAGAAGTAGGCAGATTTGCTAGTCAGAGACTCCAATATAAGCAAAGGTCAAGGAGGGGATTGGAAAAGGCATAGACAGACAAGGACTACGAGGTAAAAAAAAATTCCAGAATGGAAAAAGAGAAGAGGTCCCATGTTGAGCAAATCATCAAGATCCAAGAGCCACATGGAACTGAAATTCAGGAAAATGGAATCATTAGTATCAAGCAGACTTTGATGCTTGCAGCAGTCCCCTGCCTCTGCCAGGAGTGTTTTATAATACTACCTACAAAGGAGCTCACTGTTCCCTAAGAATGCTCAGCTCAGGGCCCAGAACAGGAAGCTAGAGAAGTTTTGTTTAAACCAGTGGCTCTCAAAATATGATTCCCAGATTTGTAGCATGGACAAAATCAGGGAACTTGTTAGAAATGGAATTCTCAGATTCCCATCTGTCAGAAACTCTGGGGGCTAGGGCCCAACAATCTAATGAATGCTAAAGTTTCAGAACCATTGCTCTATAGCAACAACACTTCAGGGAGCCTCCAGTTACCTCAAGCAATATCAAGAAATTTTCACAATGTCTTTAAAATAGAGCTAAAATTAATTAGCTTTCCTTTTTATGGGAGCTTTTCTTTTAAAGCAATAGTCATGGGAGATATGAAATAGAAATAGGCACACACAAAAAAATCTCATAAATAGTAGTGTGACAAATCCCCAAATGGTGATAAGCACCACTCTACAAGGTACAAAAAGAATTAATGTACTTCTTATTTCTCCTCCCAGAGAGGAAGGACACAAGGTTAATTTTGAATTCCTTTGTTGCTTTTCTAACCTTATCTCCTTGTCCTCTTGTTTTACAGTTTTGTTTTATCACCACCCACAATGTCTAATCATGAGCTGATCTGAATCAGTAATACATATCACCTCAATTATTTTGTCTATTTTTCCCTTAGCCTTTGTCCCAGGAACAAGCAGCCTTTGAGGAGATACAGAATTTTTTTACCCTTTAAGGTTATTTATTTAGTAATGTGACTTACAGAGTCTTGTCCAACAGAAAATAATTATGCAGTAACATGTATATCATATCAGTTATGCATTCTTATATAAATGTTAATAAATATATTCTGAAACAGATTAAAAAGAAAATTCCTGTCAGATACAGCAACATTTTCTCTTTCCTTGATCCTTAACTCTGAGGCAATAATCAGCTATGAGACAAATGAAAATAAATGAAGCCAGGTAAGTCGGTCAGGTAAGTATCACTCGATTTTTCCATCCAACACCAAAATTTCATTCCTTGTGTTTAACACACTCACAGCTTTTTTCCATATATTGTTTTATTTTTATAATTGTGTTCTCATTGTGAATATGTTTTTATGCTTCTTTTTATAGTGATATAGGCATTTTTTATTACACATAATCTATAAGCCTACCTTTGCCAAGGCTATATAATATTTCATTCAGTATAGCAGTTTCAAAGAAGGGGACATTTGACACTGTCTGGCAATGTCTGGAGATATTTTTGATGATTACAACTGGCCAGAGGGTGAGGGGTGCTACTGGCAACTACTGGGTAGAAGCCAGAGATGCCACCAAACATTCAACAATGCATAGGACAGTCCTCACAACAAAGAATCACCCAGAACACAATGTCAATAGTGCCAAGACAGAGAAACCCTGTTCTTACACTATGGGTCTTATAATCATTTTCCTAATATTGGTTTTTTGTTGTTGTTTGTTTTTTTGTTGTTGTTGTTTTTTGTTTTGTTTTGTTGTTTTTTTCTTTTTTTTTTTTTTTTTTTTGGGAGACGGAGTTTCACTGTGTTGCCAGGCTGGAGTGCAGTTGTGCAATCTCAGCTCACTGCAACCTCCGCCTCCCGGGTTCATGCCATTCTCCTGCCTCAGCCTCCCGAGTAGCTGGGACAACAGGTGCGCGGGCCACCATGCCCGGCTAATTTTTGTATTTTTAGTAGAGATGGGGTTTCACCATGTTGGCCAGGATGGTCTTGATCTCTTGATATCGTGATCTGCCTGCCTCAGCCTCCCAAAGTGCTGGGATTACAGGCATGAGCCACCGCGCCCGGCCCCTAATATTGGCTCTTTCGAATCCTTCCTATTACAATACAATGATAAACATTTATTTGTGCAGAAAAGCTTTTCATCAGGTTTAGGATTATTCCTCAGGACCAATTGTTGTGTTATTTGGGGGAGCAGATAGTATGAACATTTTTACCTTACTACTCTTTCACTTTCCAAAAGAGTTAGGCTGTTGAGACCTCCACTGGCAGGGTATTAGAGTCCTATTGTTCCACTCATGGGTTCAGGTCTCTGCTCAAATATCTCCTCAGAGAAGCATTCTCTGATCAGCCTGTCTGAAGTGGCATTCCCTCCTCTCACGAAGGAGATTCAAAATATTTAGCAGTAACCATCAGAAGAGACTGAGTCATCCGCACCAGCAGAATGTCAGCCTGTCTCTCCGCCACTCCCATCAGGCCCTCTTTGTCTCTTTATCATGCTTTATCTTTATCCATAACACTCCTTGTTTTCTGACATTATATTTGTTTGTTATTTTTCCCTTTCATTCGTATATAAGCTCCATGAGAAGAGGAGTCTTGATTCTTTTGTTAACCTCATATCCCCACATGTAGAACGGTGCCTGGCACACTAACAGCAGTCACAGTATTTTAGGTGAATGAAAAAAGGAATGCATTGATTTTTACCTAAAAGGAAAATACTCTTTTTAATAGTCCTTTCCTTGTAAACCTGACACTTTATAGGCGATGTTACTTAACATAATAAATTTACTAGTTTTGGCAAAATATCTGTTCTTAGTTTTTTTCTTTGGTAACACCTTTGTAAATTACTCCAGTTGAAAAAGGAAGTTCTAATGCATCTCCAGTTTTAAATCATGGAGAGCAGTTTTGAAACCTCAAAAGTAGTATTAATCAGGAGCATAATCCATCCCTTTAGCTACCTCCATAAGGACTACAGAGTCCATCATAGTTCCAATATGATACTTCTTGAGATACTGTGACAGCAGCTTCTTCATGTAAAATCAATGCAAACATTTAACAGATGCATGTTCTGCTCAAATTATACAGTGAAAATCTTACTGAATTTTAGTATTTCTTATCTGAAAGCCTCAAATCTCTTAGTACCTATTATGACAGGCTATTTCTCTAATACACAAAACTTGGAAACTATAATCTCTTTACTAGCAGATAAATTTAAAAATGTGATATTAGAATTGAATTCTGCTTACAAATAGCGCATCAGAAATATTAAGCATTTATTGAATTGAACTTAACTCTTTAGGGAAAATGGAAAATCTGCACATTTGTCAAGATAAACAAAACATGCTTTTTAATATTATAAACCATGATTGATTATTATCATTCATTTGCTAATTGCAACATATTCTGGTACATTAGAGATCTCTTCCTCATTAGTATGATATGGGTGTGTTAGGGTGGCATTAAATGTTAAGACATATAAATGTAAGACACTGCACCAGTTTTAAGAATCTAAACATCCTTGACATTAAATTGTAGTTACCAAGGGTTTTTTGTTTTTTTTTTTAAGAAAAACATTTTTAAAAAAATAAGATTTGGAAGTGGGAGTAAGAAAAACTGTAGGTGTTAAATTGAAACTTCTTGTTACATACAGAAAATTATCAGTCCATCAGCTGTGACACATTCTAAGCAGGCCACAAGAAGCACAGACTGACCTTAGAGAACTGCTCCAAATACGCTAATTTGAAATATTTTACTTTTGCATGAGCCATTCCCAGTATCTCTCAGATTTCTATTATCTTGCTTCAATCCTAGGAGAGTTGCTTTAGTTCTGAATTATCCATACAAAGAGATGAACTGATGCAAGTAATTGTTATCCTCATTGCTAATTTATTTAATAAAGCCTTGTAGTGAAAACTATCAGCATTAAAGTTCTTTATGAAAAATATTAAAATAGCAAAGTCTGTTATAGCACCTTCAAGGAAGTAACTTAAGAGACTTAGGAAGTTAAAACTGTATGTTTCCTGGGCTTTTTAAAGAATGTTAAATGAAAAAAGTTCCACATTTTGTCTACATGGCATTCTAGTTTTATGTCCAAGGGGATACATAAAAAGAATCAATAAAACACCTAGAGAAGAAAATGAACTGTTAAAATAATTATTAAGGCCGTTGAGGAAATATTGACAAGGCCAATGAGAAAGATTAACTAGGGTAAATCTCTGTGTATTCACAGCCACTCACCCTCTAGGGAACCTTTCTGCAGCAAATTATATTTTCCAAAAACAGCCAGACAGTATCTATCTTCTGTCCTGTATGTGACTCTTTGAAACTCATCCCATTGAGAAGCAGGGTCTATGGTCCCTCCTCTTGGATCTATGGTGAAAGTGATGCTATGTGACTTCCAAGCCCAAGTCACAAAAGAATCAGTTTCTGCCTGATTCTCTTGGAATGTTTGCTCCTGGAGCAGCCCCACCATGCTGTGTCAAAGCTGCATAGCCATGGAAAGACCTACATCAAAGAAACCAAGGCCCTGGCCCACGGCTCCAGATGAGCTTCCAGGCAGAACCATTTTGTCAGCTATGTAGGCAAGCTGTCATGAAATGGATTCTCCAACTTTGTATCAACACATCTCAAGTGACACTACATGGACCAGAGACCAGCTGTTTGCACTGAGTCATGCCCAAATTATAGGTTGATGAGCAAAATAAGTGACTACTGTTTTAAGACACTACATTTTGGGGTAGTGTGTTACACAGCAATAGTAACTAGAACACTTCCTACACTTCAAAGCCTAAAATGCTAGCAACTCTTATTTCCCAGACTGCTTCGCAGCTAGGGTCCTGGATGAAGTATGTTCCACCACATACAGGGAGTCACAGGTCTGGAAACACAATGTTATTTTACCATGCATTATAATGTAATATTAAATGATTTATCATATATTTATTCATGCTTTCTGACTTGCTGGCTACCCTGGAAATGCCCTTACACAGATTTAGAAGACAGAAATTCACAGAAGCCCTCTTCCTGCCCTCTTGGACCCTGCTGGTAAGAAGATTATAAAGATATAATTTTTCTGCAACAGGGTTCTAGTACCTAATTTTGGAACCATGGCAGCAAGGGCAGTAGCTTCTGATTCTAGCTTCCCAATCCTGGGACCCTAGCTATGTGTATACACTCTTGGTCTTCGTGCCTTGTATGAAGTTTTCTTTAAAATACCTAGAGTGGTTTCTGCTCCCTGCTCCAAATTCAGCAAACTGGAAAAGAATGGTCTAAATGATGCTATGACCATCCAATCATTTTTTCAAGTATCTTTTCTTCTGATACTGCAGTAGCCTCAGAATATGTCTTCTTCTGGCTCTTTCCCCTTTCCCTGATTCATTCTCAACACTCAGTCGAATAAATCTTTTAGAAGCATAAAGCTGATCCTATCAGCCCCCTGTAATGTCAACCATGAAATGACCTAAACCTATGGTTACACAATGATGTTGATAGTCAGGGCTGGCTCAGACTCATACTGATGCTCTTTACCCACCCTCATGTTTTGGGGAAATTTTCACACAAACTCCAAGAAGGAAAAAAATGATAGAGAAGAATGTGTCTCTTTAGCATTACTATCCAATGTTCAAATATAACCTAAAGCTGCATTACATACAAGCCAAGCCTGTAACAACTTTCCCTTATCTCCACCTCAACCTTCAACACATCTTCGTACCATGGCTTTTAAATGTCAGTACTATTCTGCAATATTTGTATATGCCAGAATTAAATAATCATACCATATATATGCCATAATTGTTTGTTTTTATGTATAATTTTAATTGTATATAGTTATACATAAATTGACATCTCTGTTCAGAAATTATATATAATTATTTATATATATAAAACAAGCAATTATATATGATATAATTAATTATATATGGTACAATTATATATAATTAAAATTATATATATAGCAAATTTATACAGTATTATATATATTTATGTATATATAATTTCTGCTATGTGCTAGGCACCGTGACAGGTGTTGAGGATACATTGGAGTCTAGTGGAATCTTAGTTTGGATTGCTATAGAAGCAGAACCTGTGACAAGAATTTAATGCCTGTCAGGAGGAAAATGAGTCAGGGAAGGAAAGACAGCTGATAACAGATGTAGTATCAGTCAAGTTCCTCAAGTGGATAACTGGAATATAATCCCTTTGTAGAATTCTGGGAGCCAGTAGAAGACATCCACATCCAAATTATCCCATCCAAAAATCTAACGAGCTAGCCTATTGATATATCAGCTCCCATGGGTCATTGGTTGGCTGAAGAGACTGGAAGTGAGGAGGGTCACAATTCCTGGCATTTCTGGGCTGCTGTGATTATGAGCAAAGAGAGTTTTCACTGTCAAAGAAAGCCTTCAGGCAAAGAGAGGCTGACGGTTGGAAGTCCAAAGTGTGCAGTGTGATGGTAAGGCCAAGATGTGAGTGCAACTGGTGTGCTAGAAATAGTTTTGTCTGTATGGTGTATGACTCAGCGGGGATTTATTTATTTATTTATTTATCTATTGACCTTGGAAAGGGAAATCAAAGACTGCTTTTATTGATGCACAAATAGACCCACCCATGATTTGAAAGGGATGATAATATTAACATAATCATTATCATCAAAGCAAATTAAAATGCAAAGGTATCTGAAATGGCTTTACAGTTATATGATGCCTTAATAAATTAAGGAAACTGATTGCTCTGAGTGGCTTCTTTCAGTGGGGATTTATTGTTTTTCACCTTCACCTACCAGATGTCAGCAACACCCTGCCCCAAGTCTGTAACAACGAAAAATCTTCCACATATTTTCAAAAGCCTACAGTCAATGAAATCACAGAGTAATTCGTGTTATGAAAAAAATAGTATAGGGTCCTTTAGAAATACCTTACACTTGTGAATCCTCAAGAAAGTAACTTCTAAGCTACAACCTAAAAAGAGGACTAGGAGTTAACCAGGTAAAAGGTTAGGAGGAGATGAATGGGTAAAAAAACACAACCAGAAAAGGCTCAAAAACAAGAAAGGGCAAGTCTATTCAAGGAGGTGAAGGAAGTTCAGGAATTGGATAATATTTTGTAAGGAGGTGGGCAATGATGAGATGAGACTATAAAGATATACAGGGGGACATTTATGCTGAGCCCTGGAGGCTATAATACGTCTGAATTTTATCCTGGGAGGAATGGGGAGACAGCTGAGAGTAAGAACATGACCATATTTGCAGTTTTGAAAGATTAATGTGTCTACTGTGAGAAGAATGGTCATTAGGGGAGTAATTCTGGAGAGAGGGAGGCCAGGTGAAAGACTGTCACAATGATCCATATAAAATATAATAGCAGCCTGACCAAGACAAGTTGTATGTGGGTAGAAAGACTTGGAGCCAATACGTTTAATAGAGAAGAGAAAGTCCTGATTTGGTGAATGTGGAAGTGAGAGAAAAGAGAGCATCAAGGATTATATAGAGAGCAACTAGGGTGATAGTGGTTGCCAGTTCCTGAAATGAGTAATCACATGAAGGATCCATTTAGCAGTCCTAGCTTGGCCCCATTGAGAAACACTAATTTATAGTATAAATTTTTAAATTTACATTGAGTTTAAGAAGTCTTGGAAATATCTGAACAGGGATGTCAAGTAGATAGTAGTACAGATAATCTGAAGCTCAGGTGAGAAAATTGGGATTGATTTAAGACGTAGGTGGCATTCGATGCCATGGGTAGGATACATGCACCCAGGAAGAACACAGAGAGAGAGAGAAAAAAAAAAGCCAGAGAAGAAATCCGAAAAACATCAATAATTACCATATGGACAGATAAATAAGAGGATGCAAAGCATCACCATCTTTATTAAGCATCTTACATGATGAACCATTTGCACAATTTTCACCAGATTCATAGTCCAGAACTAAACAGAACCACCGTGGCAGCCAAACATTTTCTAACATTGCAAAGTATGAACAATCCATGCCCCTGGGAGTTGCTATTCTCTCATCTTTTCTGTTGGTCTTCCCCAGGTTTTACAGCACCTATTTCAGTTACTTTCCCAGCTCCCATTTGACTTCTACCTCCTTTTAATTATTTCTCTCAAGGAGAATAAATCTTTTATCAATAGTTTGCTATTAAGGCAAGCATGATTTTTTTCTTTGTCAAGGTTATGAGGTTTCTATGGGGGTTTGTTTTACCCTGTGCCAGGTTCACTGTGAATCAGGCTCAGATTATTGGAGCCAAGGGTCTGGTTAGTTGTGCCTGGCAACAGCCCAGAATCATCTCCAATGTAACAAAGAGGAGCGCAATATCAATTCAGCTTCATGAGCTCTCAGGCTGGGAGTGGGATTCCCAGGGTTTATGAATTTGTTAGCTGGTGATGTAGCACACACTGTCAATTAACATGAAACTAGAAGGTACTAGAAACCTTCGATTTTACTACACTGACAACTTAAACCGGGAGGATGTAACCTCTTGATCTAAAAAGTTAGGACTGTGTTTTGTAATTCTTGCTAATTAATGAAAATTAAGAATGGGTATTAGGACTAAAACAAGATTGGAAAAAGGAAGTTATTAGATTAATTGTCAGTAACTAACAAGTATCACTCCAGAACAGCCAGCTTTTCTCACTGGATTCCTTCCACTGGAGTTCAGATCTGGTAGATGTAGTTCCACTGCAAACAATCAGCAAATGTAAGCCACTAACACTATACAAAACATAAAGATAAGATTACCTTGCACAGATGTGTAAATTACGCATTGCATCTAAAGGAGAACTAATCATATCATAGACGTTAAAGATTTCTGTATTCACAATAGCAATTTTCCATTAGAGGGTAGCAAAGTGTTTTACTCTAATACATTGTATATTTAGGAACAATTTTTTGACCAGTAGAAGTGTCTTGAGAAGGAATGCCTTGTTCTAATTTTCAAAAAGACACCATATGGACTAGTGGTGGGCCCTAAGTCATCCATCCTAGAAGATGTTTTAAAAATCAGGGTGCTCCCAAATTGTTTCAAGTATTTTGAGTGTCTCCAAATGATGATCAAATTTCAACATTAAGTCTTATCACCTGAGGCAAGTCATTTAACTTTATGAGGCACATTTTCTCTTCTCTGAAGTCAGAGGCTTGGCCAAATGATTGTTGTGGTCTTTTTCATCTCTTCAACCACTTTATGTAGCAGATAAATCTATGGCTTGTTTAAGCGGCATGGATCTTTGAGGAGTCTTCCAAAGGTATCCAAGAAATTGAAAAAATATATCAAAGTTAAGATCGTATTAACTAAACATAAACTTCAGGCAAAAACTGTATTGTAAAAGAGAGAAGAACAACCCACTTGTGTTTTTTAACATCTACTAAGTGGCAAGCATTTCTCTCTCATTATCTCATTAATTTTTATAATCATCCCGGGAGTTACCGTTATCCTCATTTCATAAAGAAGAGAACAGCTAGTATGTTGTAGAGCCATTCACATTGTGTAGTATGATCTAGTGTCTCTTTAACCTAGAACAAGGAAAAATGGATAATACAAATATTGGTATTATCTAAAAAAGAACAAAAGAGGCAGAAAGATCTGAAACATGTGAGCATTAAGTCTACCAGAATGGTTAGACCAAGGGCCCACAAACTGGCTCGAGGGTCACGTCTGCCTATCACTTGCTCTTGCAAATAAGGTTTTATTGAAACACAGCCATGCCCATTCATTTATGTACTGTTTATGGCTGCTTTCATAATATATAGGCAGAAATAAACAGTTGTGATATCTTTGGTCAGCAAAGCCTAAAATGTTTATATCTGACTTTCACAGAAAAATAATTGTGGACTCCTGGTGAAGCTATATGTTGATATGCCTATAACCATAACCTGCTCATTCATTCCCAAATCCTATCACCACCACATTTATTATTATTTTATACTTTAAGTTCTAGGGTACATGTGCACAACGTGTAGGATTGTTACATATGTATACATGTGCCATGTTGGTGCGCTGCACCCATTAACTCGTCATTTACATTAGGTATATCTCCTAATGCTATCCCTCTCCCCTTCCCCTACCCCACGACAGGCCCCGGTGTGTGATGTTCCTCTTCCTGGGTCCAAGTGTTCTCATTGTTCATTTCCTACCTATGAGTGAGAACATGTGCACCACCACCTTTATTATTAAAGGTACTGCAGGAAAATTTGTTATTGAGGGATAATGTAGTGTTTAATTACATATAGCTGTATTCAAGCTTACTGACATTGCCTTT
The DNA here is from genome assembly GCF_000001405.40 of Homo sapiens. Lineage (NCBI taxonomy): Eukaryota > Metazoa > Chordata > Mammalia > Primates > Hominidae > Homo > Homo sapiens. The sequence goes on from NC_000007.14 coordinate 122,073,022, forward strand.
TCTATTACCACGTTTAACACTAACATTAAATCAGCTCTTCAAATCAAATCCCCTTTAATTCTCATTGTCATCATAAAGCACAAACTAGTTAACTACACTGAGAGCTCAACTGGATCCCAGTTCTGACACAAAGTGCTAGTTTCTCAGTTCCCAATTAATCTGGGCGCCGTTTTAGATAGTGAAATCAATATGACACGAGTTGTATTTCCTAATCAATTGGGTCGAACTGAATGTCATGGTAAGAAAAATTCCACAACAAAATGTTTTTACTTATTAATAGATTATTGATCTCCATATATTATCTGTGACAGGTGGGACCAGGCCTTAATCAATTTTGATTGTTTTCAAATAGCAGGAGATGTTTTCTCAACTGTCATATACCTCACATGTAGTACCTGCTTCTTTCAAGGGCAGAATTAGTTTCACGTGCCAGGATATGAGCACAATTTGTGAAGGTTAAAAAGGTGCTTACTTTGTATCTCTAAAGGCAAGAGATTTTTCCCCAAGAAGCAAACAAACAAATTGCATTTGTAATTTAATTTTTTATAACAACTTGAGATAAAATCTACATACCACACAGTTCAAACATTCAAAGTATACAATTCAGTGGTTTTTAGTATATTCAGAGTTGTGCCACCATTACCACAATCAACTTTACAACGTTTACATCACCCCAAAAAAGAAACCCCATACTAATTAGCAGTCACCCCTTTGTCCTCCCCAACCCTTCAGCCTAAGCAACCACTAATCTGCCTTCTCTCTATATATATTCGCCTGTTCTGGACATTTCATATAAATGAAATCATATAATATGTGGCCTTTCATGTCTGGCATTCTTCACTTGATATGTTTTCAAGGTTTTTCCATGTTGTGGTGCATATCAGTACTTCATCTCTTTTTTTATTGCTGAATAATATTCCTTGTATGGATATGCCACGTTTTGTTTATTCACTTGTTAGTTGATAGAAATTAGGGCTGTTTCAATTTTGGGCTATTATAAATAATGCTGCAAAGAACATCTGTGCACAAGTTTTTGTGTAGACATTTGTTTTTATATCACGTGGGTATCCACCAACAGTGCATGAGGGTTCCAATTTCTCTGCATCCTCACCAACACTTGATATTATCACTTTGATTATATATCTATTCCAGTGAGTGTTAAGTGATATCTCATTGTAGATCTCATTTGCATTTCCCTGATGGCTAGTGATGTTGAGAACCTTTTCATGTGCTTATTGGCCTTTTGTGTATCTTCTTTGGAGAACTGTTAATTCAGATCTCTTGTTGATTTTTAAAAATTGAATTATATGCCTTTTAATTATTATTGTAACAGTTCTTTACATATTCTAAATACAAATTCCTCCCTTAACTAATACATGATTTTAAAAAAAATTATCTCATTCTGTGGGTTGTATTTTTGCTTTCTTGATATTGTCCTTGGAAACACAAATGGTTTTAATTTTAATTTACCTATTTTCTTCTTTTGTTGCTTGTGTTTTTAGTGTCATTTATTTAAGAAATCATTGCCTAATTCAAAGTCAGAAAGATTTACGCCATGTTTTCTTTGAAGATACTTACAATATTAGCTCTTACATTTAGATCTTAGGTCAACTTTGAGTTAATTTTTATATGCAATATGAGGTAGGAGTCCAATTTCATTATTTTGCATGTGGATATCCATGTTTCCAAGCATCATTTAATGAAAAAGACTATTTTGCCCCCATTGAATTGTCTTAGCACTATTTTCAAAAGTCAGTTGATGATAAATGTGATCAATATTTCTGGACCCTCAATTATATTGGTATTTTACTCTTTCTGATGCTGTCAATTTTTTTCTTTTCTTTTTTGTTTTTTTTGAGTCAAGGTCTAACTCTGTCATCCAGGCTGGATTGCAGTGACCCAGTTATAGCTCATTGCAGCTTCGAACTTTGGGGCTCAAGCCATCCTTACACCTCAGCCTCTGAGTAGCTGAGACGACAGATGAGTGTCATCACATCCAGCTGTTTTTTGTTTGCTTGTTGTTTTTTGTTTGTTTGTTTTTGTAGAGATGGGATCTCACTGTTTCCCAGGCTGGTCTCCTGGCCTCTAGCAGTCTTTCTGCCTCAGACTCCCAAAGTGTTGGGATTACAGGCACAAGCCACCAAGCTTGACCATTGTTGAAAATTAAATTGTTTTCTTAACATCATTTTTGATTTATTCATTGATACTATATTGAAAGATAACCAATTTCTGCATATTTAATCCTGTATCCTGTAACTTTGCTGAATTTATTTATTAATAAATCATGCCTTTGGATTTTCTATAGTTTTCCCTTGGATTACTATGCACAAAACCACCATATCGTCTCCCATCTCTATTTAGTTATACTTCTTCCTTTCCAACCTAGATGACTTTTATTTTATTTTCTTGCCTAATTGCCCTTTCTTGACTGTCCAGTACAAGTTGAATAGAAATGGCCAAAGCAGACATCCTTGTCTTGTTTCTGATCTCAGGGGGAAATAATCCAGTCCTTCACCATTAAGTATGATGCTAACCATGGGTTCTTCATAGATGCCCTTTATCAGGTTGAGGAAGTTTCCTTCTATTCCTAGTTTGTTGAGGGTTTTTTATTTTTTATTTTTTATTGTGAAAGGGTGTTGAATTTTGTTAAATACTTTTCCTGTGCCTAATGAAGTGATCTTGTAAATTGTAATTTAATCTTATCTATTCTCATGTCCAAACACTCAAGAGAAAACTATAAGGAACTATATTTACAAAATAAATCATAACTTTACAAAAAGGGCATAAAATAGCATTTTGGCAAAAACTTAACTTAGGTAATCTGAAGGTATCTAACTGTATCAATTTTAAAAATATAAAAATATAGCTTTATGACGAAATTTTTTCTGACTAAAAAAGTAAAACTTCATTTGCTGGTTATAAGACAATATGTTCATTTAAGAAAAAAGTGGACATCCTGGCTAACATGGTGAAACCCCGTCTCTACTGAAAAATACAAAAAATTTAGCCGGGCGTGGTGGCGGGTGCCTGTAGTCCCAGCTACTTGGGAGGCTGAGGCAGGAGAATGGCGTGAACCCAGGAGGCGGAGCTTGCAGTGAGCCGAGATCGCGCCACTGCACTCCAGCCTGGGTGACAGAGCGAGACTCCATCTCAAAAAACAACAACAACAAAAAAAAAACAAAAGAAAAAAAGTGGCACAATAAATTAACAAATAGCATGATCATCACTTTCACATACGTATTTATAAAATACAGGGTAGAATTATTAAAGTTCTCTGTTAGTGGCTTGCATCTCCTGTTCCAAACATTTCCATATTAAAATAAAGATTTATAGTTCAAAAAGTACATTGTGTTAACCAAAACATATTATGCTTTATACTTTAAAACAGCACATTAGCAAACCCATTTATCACACACATGTTCAGAGGTGTATTGCCTGGGAAGAAAAAAACAAAATATAATTCCCAATTATGGTTTAATTGTACTCTGTGTAGTATATATAATGCCTTCTGCTTTAATTCGCTCCAATATTGGTCCATAGATCTCCTTTGAAAAGGGCCCCATTAGGCCTTTGGCTCCAATTTCACCTGGAAGAAAATAAATGTGTAATTACCATTTCAAAGGTTGTGTCAGAGGTTAATTTCCCCATCAAGAGTCTCCACAAAGAAGCAAACTCAGAGTCAATGAATTCTTGGAGGCCTAGGCATTTTTTAAGTAGCTGCTTAAAAACGTCCCTTAGTAAATTATTACTTATTCAACACTTTGTAAGGAAAAGGAGTTGATTTTAGATTGAAAGCACAGCCGGACCTAGGGATATTGTCAGAACTTGTACACTTAACTGCATTAATTTCTGCCAGGACAATCAGAGAACAAAGTAAAGTAAGAAGTAAAGTAAATCTGACTGGTCAGCTTAACTTGCTAATGTCATTTTTTTTTAAAAAAGGCAAGACACCAACAGAATGAGTTGTAACAGGTTTGATTATATGGGCACAGGCACCTGTTAGTATGACTGAAACACAGAACCTGGGCACTCTCACTAGAGGCCACAATGACCCCAACTTTTATCACTTACTTCTTCATTGATTCCTCAATAACTAAGTTGGTCATTTAATTTGACATTAGCTGATATGCTACTATACATTTTTTTTTCATTATTTCACATTTATATGCTTTGATATTTTCTACTCCCCTCATTCTTTCTTGAGGGTCAAACAGAGGCAATGCTTATTGAATGTCTATGTGATCTTCTAGGGAGAGTGGAGGAATGAAATTTTTATTCATTTAGTCTAAAATATTTATTGAGTACTAATAATATGCTGAGATATGAAGACTAATAAAACTTAACCTATATTCTTGAGAATCTGGAGTGAATATCTTTTTCTATTTTAGAGTTATCACTCCCAACATGGCAAAAACCAAAGAAAGAAAGGAAGGAAGTTACCATTCCCTGGGGACCCCTCTATGAGGTAGCAGCTTCATGTATTATATCAGTTAGTGTCACAACAACTCTGAAACAGGGATGGCAATACCCACTTTAAATATGAGGAAACTCTTGCTCAAAGGTGCTGAGTAACTTGCAGCCCATCACTCAGCCACCTTGGAACTGAGCGGAAGCGGAAGTCAGGTCTATCTCCAAAGCCCACATGCTTTACTCATCAAAAGGGGACCTCCCAGGCAGTCCGCGCTTGGATCTTCTAAGATGGTTCACTTTTAGTAAATGCCTGTGTTACGCTCAAGAGCAATTACTTGATGTCCAGGCACCAAATGGCTTGGAGGTGAAACAGAAACAGGCTTACACCTCAAATGAACAGACTTACCATCAAGCAACATTTTGGCTGCCATGGCGGTGGGTAACCCCACGGTTTTAGCCATGGCTGAAAAGCCATTGATGTCCCCATAAGCCACAAGATCAATCGTTTTATGTTCTAAATGTCCAGAAGGATGTCTGATTCCAAAGCTGTCTCTCATCACAATCATATCTTTTTCTTCAGGACCTTAAAACAAATAAAGATAAGTAAAAATACCACTATCATTACAACTCAAATATTGTCTGTCATCTCCTCCTGCCCTTCTGGTCTTAAAAGTTTTCCCTCCTTTTATATATGATCACTAGACAATTATTTACACAGCTTTTTAGCCCAAAGTCAAAGTGAAAACCTCAAGGAAATTAGAACTCTGATCTCATTCCTTTATCCGGATTCATGTCACCATATCCTGTTTACAGACACAAAAGCGCTGCTATAGAGGCCTTTTAGTGTGCTCCAAAAATGCTTCTTTGGCATTTGCCTAATGCATTAAAAAAAAAAAGTAATGTCGGGCGCGGTGGCTCATGCCTGTAATCCCAGCACTTTGGGAGGCTAAGGTGGGCGGATCACGAGGTCAGGAGATGAAGACCATCCTGGCCAACATGGTGAAACCTTGTCTCTACTAAAAATACAAAAATTAGCTGGGCATGGTGGCAGGCAACTGTAGTCCCAGCTACTCGGGAGGCTGAGGCAGGAGAATCTCTTGAACCTGGGAGGCAGAGGTACAGTGAGCCGAGATGGAGCCACTGCACTCCAGCCTGGTGATAGCGTGAGACACCGTCTCAAAAAATAACTAACTAACTAACTAAATAAATAAATAGTAAAACTATTTTTTCCTTTCCCATAATAACTAAGTTTATTTTTACCTAATAATTCTCAAATTCCTCCCTCTGGAAAAATAGTCCAATTGCCCTTTTCTTCATATCACATCTTCCCATTCCTGCTGCTTGGGGCCAACCCTCCAATACGATTATCTGCACTGACTCTATCTTATGATTCTTCTTTAGGTATATTTAGCTAATACTTCATGGCCTACCATAGGAAAGCTTCATGACCAAATGCTTGGAGAGGGCATCCAGAATGGACTCTGCCTGAGGAACTTGTTCATCCCCAAGTAAGCCCAACCTGAAAAGCACAGGAGATGGCTGCATTAGTTCAAGTCCTATACATGTTCTCATTTGGGAAGCAAAAGGGAGCTCCTTGAATTTAATCTTGAAAGGGCAGAATTACAAGGTGGTAACTCAAGTTGTAGGATTCTCCTAAAATGTAAAATAACAATAACAATAGCAATGTTTTAACCTTCAGAATCTTCTCCAGACTCACCCAGGCACTGCTCCCTGGAGCAGGGCAGAGATGATGGATTGTAATCCCATGTTCTTACAAAGATCTTTATGAGATTAATTTATAGGTTAGTTCTCCAACATTAGGTATACCAGCAGGATGCCACAGCGGTCATATGAAAGAATGTTTTCATGTAATATTCTATGACTACTCCAAATCTCCTACAGGAAAGCAAAAATACCCCACTATGCTTGGGAACTGAGTGGTAAAGTGTTTCGAGATAAGCATTTCTCAAATTCTAATTGCCATTGAGCTCCTCTCTTTATCTACTCTTTATGCCCACATGAACATGGCACATGGTAATCTCTCTACCCACATTAGAGCAACGAATTAATCAAAGACAAATGTAAAATATTTAACTTTTTCTGAGTAGAAATTAGCAATCATTGATCCAGTATATTTTGCTCTAAGTTGAGTGGTGGGTGCCTACCATTCAGCAGCCTCCAACTGGGTATTGTCTCCTCCTAGTTTCTTAAGAACAGCTTCCTTCAACACATCATGCTCAGAGGAGGGTGAAATCCCAACTAGGTCACAGAGGAGTTGTTTCTGGTTAGAAAAAGAAATACAATATTTCTAAGTCCCTAACAAATTTTTTTTTAATTGACTGAAAAATTATCCTACTAAAACACTGAACTTCAAATACACCTCAAATTTTAAAATTAAAAATAATTGGAAATAGGAAATTGTAACACATACACACACATACACACATCTGCATACCTACACATCAATAAATAGCTGCTATTCCAAACGATATTTCACCAATAAAAATGGGTTTTAAGATCAACTCAACACAAAACAGATGGTGCAGTTCTTACCAGCACATTCCCTGTCTTTGTATATCCTCTCTATCACTATGTTTTTATCCATTCTCCCCCTACCCTCCAGCAGTCCATTTTGACCAGGATAAAGTGGAAAAGGCTTACTGCAGTGGTTGCCAGTAGCAACCCAGGTTCTTTTGTAGGTTCAAGAGATGAGAAAGTCCTTGCAGGTAATAAAATCTCAAAGGAAGAATACTTAAACAGTAGCCATAGTTTTTTCTACTTTCAAAACAAGACTTTTTCTAGGTTCCCAAAGGAAAAGCTATGCTCTAGATCAGGAGTCAACAAACTGGTTCACAGACCAAATTTGGCTCATTGTCTGTTTTATTAAATAAAAGTTTTATTGAAACACAGTCATGCTCATTGGTTTATGTATCGTCTATGGGAGAACTGAGTGGTACTGACAGAGACCGTGTGGCCCATAAAGTCTAAAACCTTTATAATCTGGTCCTTTACAAAAAAGACCATCCCTAAGAATGTCTGCACCAACCTTCCCAAACCAGCTGCCTCAACCCCAGGTTCTCTCTGCAGATACTTGTTCACTCCTACCCAACAAGTAAGTTTATGAAAGGTAAAACTTAAGATTGGAAAGGTTCACAAATGCACACAAAAAAAATGAATGTAAAAGCAACTGGCTAACACAAAGAAATGATGAATGCTTGAGGTGGTAGATACCCCATTTACCCAGATGGGGTTATTATACATTGCATGCCTATTTCAAAATATATCATGTCCTCCATAAATATATACACCTACTATGTACCCATAAAGAATTCAAAAATAATTTTTTAAAGAAACTAGCTAGCAAGAATACCAAAACTTTTTTTTGAGATGTAATGGAATTAGCAACATTGGTCCTTTTCTCCTTGTGATACATTTCTGGCATTTCTACTGGAATACAGGCACACTAGTTTAAGTTGAACAACCAGCTGGTAATGAGTTAATTCTGAGCAGTCAGTAGAAGCTCTACTTCGCATTCAGTTCCAAGCCTCCAAAGTTCATTCCAACTCTGAGGCCTTAAGGTTTTGGTACAACAAGAGATAGACGCATAAGCTCGGTAACTGAAAATCAAATCACTCATGGTTATAAGTAACCAAATGAGAGTACTGACAAGATTTGGAGGTTGGAAATCCAGTTCTGTAATACACTAGTAACTCTCCTGGATTCTCACTTTCAGGAAGTCCAAGTGACTCCCATCACTGGGTCACCACCTAGACAACTGGAATAGCTCAGAGCTTAATGCAGAGAGCAAAGGCATCTCTTATCACAGCTCAAGGAGCAGTCAAATGGTATAAGTTGCTGCGGGAAACAGGCCTGATATGTGTCAGCCCCACACCCTCTCCATTCTTCCACAACAGTGAAGGGAAAGGGGGCTTTGGAGTTAGGATTTATCTTCCTGCTCATAAGCTAAAAAATAGGATCTTTTGCAGATCCAAAGCAGAGTTCACCCCCGACCATTTCAGAAGGTATTTCTGAAAAGGAGCAGATAGAACGTAATTCGGAGTCACTCACCCAGGTGAGAGGGTTGGCCTCAGGTCTAAAGGCAGGAAGCGCTTCTCTGTTTATAAGACCTAATTTTACAAATCCATTCAAAGCTTTCATATATCCCTGAAACAAGAATTAATAAGCAGTATATAAAATTTTTCTCTTCCAATGAAAAAACTTAAAATATTTTTGAAAAGAGGGATATATCTTTGTAACTAATTTAGAAAACTGTTTATATTGATGATATGAGTACTACAGCTCTTCTAGAATTTGCCTAGCAGGTTTTCCTGTCTTTACTAGAAACCCCTCCCCACAACCCACCAAAAAAGTATTGAGGATATAGATACAACCAATTTCAAGCTCAAACTGAGATCAATAGTGTCATAACAATTCTACTGGTTTACATAAAAGACCTTGCAAAACTTAGGTCTTTACTTCTGTTTCTGGGTAACATGTGAATGGAATTTTCGGGCAGCATAAGGGCAAATTTTCTTATGTGTTATATGCTGTCAGCTCAGCAGAGTATTATTTAACAGAACAGTCAGTTGAGCTCTTTCTTATAATGGAAGGAGGAACTTGTAAGAATATCCTCCTCAAAAGCAGATAATCCAATCTACTAATTAGAGCCACCACCCCCAAGATATATGGAGAGCAGAAAAAGAGGTAGGAATCAGAGATTTTTCTAAGATATGATGATATCATCACTCTGATAAAAATTCCTCATATGTCCTTCATTGTCTACAAAGCAAACCTGAGGTCCTTGGTATATTATATAAAACCCATCACAACATGCTCATCTAGCCTAACTCACAGATCTCCACTTTCACTATTCCCCAAATGTGCTGTGTTCTTCCAGAAACCAGGGCCTCTGTACATGCTGCTCCTGTAACTGGAATGTTGTGGCCACACTTCTTCATTTATGAAATGTTTTCTCCTCCCTTCAGACCCAGTTTAGCACCTCTTGTGAGTCCCCTAGCACTCACAAGTGGGCACTCCCTTCTTGTAGCATTTTGTATATACCTTTATCATGGCAATTAATGCAGCTCATAATTAATTGTCTATTCAGCTGCTGTACTGAAGGTATTGAAAGCAGGGAAATTGTATCTTTATATTATGTTATATTATATTTTATTTGTGTGCATATTCTTCATCCCAATGCCCACTTCGGGGCAGATAAGTCAAACAAATAATGCCTAGTCCATGGTGAACAAAAATGCGTCACCACTGACGACTAAACTGTAGTAGAGTATTATATTAATAGGTGCTAGGTTAGAGGAAAACATAGCTGTGGGAGCACAAAAGAAGGGGAACTCACATAGATGGGGCTGGGTGGTTCAAGGGGAAGGAGTTAGGGAGGATACCATAGGAAGGTATTCAACATTATTCAACATTCCAATCCATTATTCAGCATTCCAATCCCTAAAAGAGAACAAATGGCTGGATAAATAGATTCTGAATAATAGATGAAGTGAAGAAAGACCATAATGGTTTATTCCCCAGTGTGCAAATGGGAAGCAGGGTGAGAAGGCTAAGATAAGAAATTTATCTTATCTGCAATTACTGCTCAAGCAGAGAGAGAGAGAAGAAAAGAGAGAGAGGGAAATAATTCTAGGGAGCAACAGAGGTTTTAAAATATAAAATAGTTCCTGTAACGTCAGATATTTCACTACTGAATGTCTGGCCAACTAGCAATTTTCCCATTTCTAAAGGTTATATTGTTCAAACTGTTCAAAGGTTACTAAAAAAAGAATTCTCATTTGCTCTAATTCAAATGCAAATATACTTCAAAGAGGAGAAACAGAAAAGTAATATCACTAGCTTGTTTAGCTCGCTTCTGGGACCTGATAGGTGCTAGAGATCCCTTTATCCAACATCTAAAATACTGATTTCTGAGCTATTTATTAATCTCAGAAATATATTTTTATGCTGACCCCTAGAAATGAATTTATTTTATGTATTCATTCATCAATAAGCATTTAGCAAACTGCTGCCATATGTCAGACTTGTGCTAGGGACTGAGGCCACAGAGATGAAAAAATTGCAGTCTCATCCATGCAGAAACTGCAGTCAACAGAAGGGTCAGATAAGTCAAGCAAATAATGCCTAGTCCATGGTAAGCAAAAATGCATCACCACTGATGACTAAATTGTAGTACAGTATTATATTAATAGGTGCTAGGTTAGAGGAAAACATAGCTGTGGGAGCACAAAAGAAGGGGAACTCACATAGATGGGGCTGGGTGGTTCAAGGGGAAGGAGTTAGGGAGGATACCACAGGAAGGTGCTATTAACCTGCGTCTAGAAGGACAAGCAGGTGACAGGCAGGCAGAGAAGGAGAGTGGTCAAGGCCTCTCTGTCATATTTGAATGATGGTATCTCATCTCCAATACTGGAAAGAATTTTAGGGTTACCAATGGATTGCTGGCATTGCCCAGGATGGTGGCCCTCATGATTACGAACACTGTGATATCTTCCATCCTCAAGGAATCCATGGGGATGGCTCCCACTCGCACACCTTGTTGAGACCTTTATTCAATGTTTAAATCTATTAAAATCCTTCATTCCTGGATCTATATGTTTGTCAAAAGACTATACTGAAAGCTATATATCCTAACTGCTGGCCAAAAAAAAAAGTTTTTACTCATATTCTTTGAACAAATTGAAGAAAATAGATCAAGAAATCTGCCAGAGCTGGGGATAGTATGCATAAGTTCAGACTAGAATTTCTACTGTGCCTAAAGGCTGGTAGAAGAGCCATAGCTCCTAGATCTCGGTAGGACATTATCACTGATGTCTCATTTGATTCCTGGGCAATGAAAAAATCATATTCATGGAGTACAAGCACCTGCTCTCTAGGAGCTTACAATCTCTTTTGGGAGATAAGAAAAATATACATAAAATTATAACTTAAAATGCTGAGAAGTAAATGCTAAGTGCCCATAAATGTAACAGAAGCTCTCAAGAGTAAGAAATATAGTGGTTGTTTTCTTTTTAAGAACAGATAGGCAGGTGAACCTGGAAGACATTATGCTAAGTGGAATAAGTGAGACACAAAAAGTAAAATATTGCATGATCTCACTTACATGCAGAATTTTTTTTTACGAAAGTAAAAGATGCAGAGATAGAGAATAAAACCATGGTTACCAGGGGCAGGGCTGCAGAGAAGAAAAGAATAAAGCCCGAAGGAGGATGATACAAATACCTGGAGGAAAAGTTCCAGGCAAAAGGAACAGCCAGCAAAAAAAGATAAGAGAACGACAGAAAAGCAGGCACAAGATTGAAGGGTCATCACTGACAGGTCCATGTGCCTTACATCTTCCAGATAAAAAGATAATTAGAGAATACTAGATAACACACATGAGACAAATCCCCTCTCTGGCCTTAGCCAGGAAATCTCACAAGACAGACAGATTTGCAGTCAGGTCTCTGATCCTGAGAAATACATGTATTTTAGGTATGCTGGTTACATTAGGTTGAGTTTAGGGCCCTGTCGCCAAATTCATGGGCATCCACAGCCTCAGAATATGGCCTCACTTGAATGTTTGCAGATAGAATTAATTAAGGACCTCAATATGAAATCAACCTGGATTTAGGGTGAACCCTAAGTCCAATGACTAGTGCCCTAATAAGAAGAGGATGCAACACAGTGAGACACACAGAAGAAGGTGATATGAAACTGATGCACAAATTGGATGGATGTGTCTCAAAGTCAAGCCTCCAAAAGGCACCAACCCTACTCACACACATCTTGATTTCAGACTTCTGGCCTCCTGAATGGTGAGAGAATAAACCCCTATTGTTTCAAGCTACCCAATTTGTGATATTATGCTAGAAAACTATTACACCAGTTGTCTTGATTAGGTCACACTTGTAACTGCTTTTTTTGTGATCAATAAATGTGTAGTGGACATTTGCATTAATGCTCCTAGAATGTACTCCCCATTTTGTGGTTTAAAAACATTTTGGATTTGCTCTGGGGAAGCCCCTTTCATCCCGTCCGTTTCCTCCCGCCCCAGTCCATGTTTTTTTAATGACATTGACTCCATCTCCAGTTCTAGGACATATAACATAGGCCAAAGTAGATGGGCACATTTTATCCCACTGACCTTAGGGAGCTAATGAGACAAAAATCGTATTTTTGGCTATTAGAACGGTATCATTTTTTATTCCCACTGAATTTGATCCTGAGAGGCTGGGAGCACTGCCACCACTCTGCCATCGCACAGCACTTGAAACTCCTGTGAATACTGGAAAGAAGAGCTGAGACGTTACGAGAAGTCAGGTCCTGGGGAAGTCACTTGATCTCCAACTCTCACTAAGCCTGAAGCCCTGCCTGTCCCCAACTCCTAATGAGTCAATTAATTATCTTTTTATTTTGAGGTGAGTCTCCTAAAATATTCAATCAATCATAAGATTCCTGAAAAAATAGACTCCAACTTGGTTTATCATCTTAATTATTTTGACTACTAAGAAAAATTAAGTGTACACATCACTTACATCACAACTGGCAACATGTTGAATCTAAAGTCCAGCTGCTTACCTTATATCTCAGTGTCCCCCGCAACAAAGTGTGAGCAGAAGAAATGCCATAAATCTCAGCATATTTCGTACTGTCTCTGTTAGGATAGCCTTCCAAATTTAATCCTGGAAAAAAATCCATGGACGTAACGGCATCAAGAAAGGAGATGCCTCCTGCAACATTCACAACCTGAGGAACATTGAGAAGGCACACATGGGGTTACAGCTGTTCCTTTCTTTTAGGGCTTATCTGCATTATACGAACAAAGAAAGCAACAGAAATTTGAAAAAAAAAATAAAAATAATGAAACCACCATAATCATCATCCTATACTTAAGCTGTTCTACTAATATCATAATTCACAAAGCAATTCTTCTCTCAAGCTTTAAAATTTGACTTTAAAACATTTAGTTTTTCTAAACATAAGGTCTTATTTTCAATTTTTTTCCTTCCCCTGGATAAAATGGCACTAAATTATTTCCCACTAGAGTTTGCCTTTTTAAAAAATATAAACATTTAGAAAAAAAATTTAAAATAAACATTTTAATTTTTAAAAAATTTATTTTCTAAATATTTAAAAATAAAAAATGTTTAAAAAATAAACAAAATTATTTTATATAAAAATGTTTAAAAAATAAACTTAAATAAGCTAAAAGCAACAGATAATTATTTAAATGGCTTCTATGCTCAAACAACAATCAATATTCTCATTCTTTTCTTTTACTTTCATGAGCCTTCTAAATGCCACATTAGGCATCAGTCACATACATTTCATTCATACAGCTAAATTTATTGAGCAGTTACTATCTATGCATTGAAGATCGCACAAATTGTGAAGGGAATAACATGAGTGATGAAATAAAAATCTTTTGATATCTCAGTACTTCTCTTTCCCATACCCCTACCCCCATCACACATACTCAAAATGCAATGAAGGATTTCTTTGTCTCTAATTTTAATTAAAAGACTAAATTTTCTTCTAGTTTATTGGCTTATTATTATTGTTGAGATAAAGGAAAGCATTCTGGAGTGATAAAATTAGGTCTGAGAATTCTGGTTGTTGCTGCTGGTGGAACTAAATTTTATCCTTATTGTACCACTGGAAACAATTTCTGACCAGTTTCTCTAAAGCTGCACAAAATAACACTGTACCAGGGAGCTGCCAATGTACTTTAAGGTGGATTCACAGGATTTGCCTGAAGAGGCCTTTGGCTAAACTTAATGATTCTCATGCCTTATTAGTAGATGGGTTCTGAACGTGCCTTTGTATGAGAGAGAAAATGGAAACTCATTTATCTGTGGATGAAGCCCCAGAAAGAAAAGGGCTATGCTGACTGCAATGTTAGGACCACTGGAGTCTTTTCAGTTCAGAGACTCACTTTGGAGAGTGCCAAGCACCATTTAAAATTTCAAAAGTGAAAATCTGAATGAAGGATGTGAGGAATGCCTTCCATTTAATTTTCTTGTGAACCCTACTAGACTGCAGAGTAAACATTTCCAAAGGGGGGATGATTTCTGAACTACTTCTTTAAAACCAGTTTATTTAATAGAATTCTAAATTTTTGAAAAAATCTAAGAAAGCAAATGTTGGGCATGATGGTGCCCACCTGTAATCCCAGCTACTTCACTCGGGAGGCTGAGGCAGGAGGATGGCCTGAGCCCAGGAGTTTGAGAATAGCCTGAGCGACACAGCAAGACACCATCTCTTAAAAACAAAAAAGCAAACGTTGACTTTTAGGGTCTTCACACCCATCTCATTTCTATAACCCATGACAATTCTTAAGTTTTGTTTGCTTGTTTGAAAGTCAGGAAAATTTCTGAAAGAAAAATTCAATAATGACCACAATATTCTAGCTTACCAATCATAAATAAAGCAGCAAGTTCATAAGTCTATCATGAAATCCTTACAAAGAAGATGGAGAAATGTCAGCTGAATGGCAATGATTCATTTAGTGAGAATGGCAGGTGGCTAAGCAACCTGACCCAAAAATTACTGGGTAATCATTGTCATTTGATATTCATTCGTAGTTGTATTTCTAGTGGTATATAATGTAGTTCAACAATAAGTTCTTTCTTGTTTATTATTTTATTAATAATTTGAATGACAACAGAAACATATTTGTCTGTTTTGCAGAGAATATACATTTCTTTCTGCTCTGACAATGCTCAGGCTCATTATTCACTGCTGTTGCAAGCTTCTCTAGGTCCAACTCTTTCACACATACACACAAACACAAATACAAATCTCCCAAGTAGAGAGAATCACTGTTATATTTGAATAAATATATCATATATATTCAAATAATCACAGTAAGCTTGATCACTAAACTAATAAGGAAATATACAATCATTTTTTCAGGGCCTACTATGTGCCCAGTGCCTTGTACTGGGCATTATCTTTAATCCATGAAACAACTCATTTTTCAGAGGTGAAAACTGAGGCTGAGTCACCCAAAGGCAAATCTGAACCCAGTTCTATTTGACTGCAATGTCTGTGTTCCTTCAACTACACTGTCCCCTTAATCATGCTTATTTCTGGATCAGTATTTTGAAAGGGATATTGACAAAGTACAGCATTCTGGATTATGCCACCTGGGATGCACTGAAAGTTGCATAAAGAATTGGTACAGGCAAAGGAAGATAGTGGTAGCTCTTGATTTCCAAAGGGTTGGGTGCTGCAGTCAAGGTGGTGGCAGGCAATGGATAGAGGGCTAGAAAACTTATCTTAAAGCGATGTTTGCAGAGCAAGCACACTTCTCACTTAGACTACATGTTTTGCCAGGTTAGACTGGGAAACACTGCAGAAGATGATGGCAAAGCTCTGCCATATCACTCCCAAATGCCAACAATGTAAAAAAGTACACCACCACTGTGAGGGGAATGAAACTAAGAGAAGATGAAATCACTGTCTCCGAATATGTGGAAGAAAATCAGAATTGTTAGGAATCAAATTAGAAGTTAGAAATAGTACAAGTGGCTAGAAATTACTACAAAGATGTAAGACAATGAGACACATTCAAATTCATAGGCCACTGACCAATTTCTGGAAAAGTTTAAGTCTTCAAATTCAAGCAGAAGTCAGAGAGGTGACTTGGTTTCCCATTATGATTCTGTGAATTACTTAAGACCCGCTCCACAGTGGAGGGTGGTGATGGCAGAGGGAGTGAAGGGCAAGAATACAAGAGAGGTTTTAAGTTGTTCAACAATCTGGCTTGAGAAACAGACTGATACACTTGAATTACTGACTGAATAATGCAGCACCTAGAAAATTCTTAAGACACAGACAAACAAAGTGTCTGATTCTTTGATTCAGTTCAGGCAAAATAATAGTGAACAGAGGCTGGAGTGGTCACAAAAAGCTTCATCCACAAGAGGAAACGCAGGTGGGACCTTGAAAAAAGTATCATTTTAGCAAAGAAAAGTGTCATATTTTCTCTTGGTATCCTCCAGTGTCAGAGAGATGCAAAAAGCACTCATTTTTACAAAAGACATTTAGGATGAAAGAGGAGAACTTCGAATTCAACAAATACAACTTCTGCTACCTGAAAATAACCTCTTGTTTGTCTTAAACTCTCACAACCACTAATTTCCTTATGTAGCTAATATTTGCTAGATTTATTACATGGCTGACAATCTGCTGTTAGGCAGATTGCAATCTATGTGACCTCACTGACTAAGAACACTGGAAGGCTGGCATGATTGTCTTTATCTTCAGACAAGGAACCCAAAGCTCACAACCAGTAATGGCAGAGCTAGAGCACAAAGCCAGGCCCACAGATACCAAGTTCCTTGCTCTTTCTTTTACATGGTTGCACTCTGCTGACCCTTTCGTTGTTACCATCTTTAGCATTTATAAGGCCTCCTAAAAATAAGTGTTTTACTCAACTGAGGCAAGAATTTGTCCTGCCTTCACATGTTAATTTATACCAAACATAGGCCAGTCTCTTAAGATTGCAGAAGGTAAAAGGAGCTGTTGGAATGCAATAGGAGATAGGCTGTAGCATGTAAAAGGATGTGTGCTTGGTAAAACATCAGACTAAGATTCTGGTCCAAACCTTCATGATTCATAGAATTAAAGAATTGGATGGAACATCAGTGCTCACATTACACATCAGGAAACTGACATCCGGTAGATCTTTTCAACTGCCTGGTCTTTGGCTATGTTATGAGGGATGCCAGGAATTAGACCAGAACTCATTGATCCTGTTTATTATCCTGAAACATGTCACACATCATTCCGGCATCAAGCTAAAGTGTCCTGCTTGTTTAGTACTATTTTAAGTGCAGCTGTGATTCTCTGATCATTAAATCAGTTGTTCTCAAATTCAGCTGCATATTAGAATCACTAGGAAGATTTAAAAAATCCTCAAACCCAGGCAAATCAGAATCTTTGGGGATGAGGCGCTGGTACTTTTTAAACTCCCCTTGTAATTCCAAGCCAAGTATGAGTTATGCTCTATATCACAGGCACAAAAGACCATGGCTAATAACAGCATTCACCTTGTTGCTTAAGAAATTCTTTCTCTCTACTCCTGAAATACATTTCGATTCACAAATACCTTGACAATGTAAAATATTGATGCTAAAATAATCTTTTTAAGACACATCTATGTGATCATATTACTCATCACTCCCTGCAGGGCCAGGACTAGGGCAAGGTGAATGAGGTGCCTACAACACACAATTCAAAGAGGCACTCTGAGTCTCGTTTCATTTTTCTCCAAACTATGAGCATAAACTATGAAGTCAGACAGACATGATTTGGATACTGGCTCTGTCACTTGCCATCTCTTTAAGTGTAGCTGTTATCTTAACTCCCTAAACCTGATTTTTCCCCTTATAAAACTGTCATACCATGAGTGCTAACATCCCTGCCTAGCTGGCACCCTCATATCCTTCAAGGCCAAGCACATCCTCTTCTCCACTAGTTTTTCTTTTCCCCATCCTCCTTCCCCCAACCCCTTCACCAAGGCCAATTAAACTGTTCTCCCATCTGTAGCTCTGAGCCACTTTAACATACTTTGGAAATTTCCCTATTAAATTATAATTACTTATTCCCATGTCTGTCTTTCCAGCCATTAGGCAATCTGGCAAAAGGAGAAAAAAAGCCTTAAGAGTTAGTTAGACCTGGGTTTGAATCTCAGCCAAATGACCTTGGACATGCTCTCTGAGCCATAGCTTTCTTATTGTAAAATAATGAAAATAATATTAAACTTGGAGAGTTCTTATGCTCTGTTACATGGCAGCTGGGGAAGAAATTATAGTTTCTTTCCCCAGCACACCAAACCCTCCATTCCAAGAGCCCCATCCCCAGTCCAGCTGTGAGCTTTCTGAGGTCATGAATTTCATTCTCTGTGACAGTCTTGGGTAACTTGCCCAAAGTCCAGCACATAGTAGGTACTCAGAAAATGTTTGTCATGCTGAAATAAATCAAGAGATAACCAGTGTTTACATATATAGAGAAGTGAATTTTTGAATAGCAGAAACAACTTGCAAGAAGGCCTAGGGCAAAGAATAGGCACAGGCTTTGCTAGGAACAGCAAGGATACCGTGCTAAATAGAACAGAAAATATACACTGGGAAACAACACAGGAGGAGATAATGGAGACAGGCAGCATCACCATTATTAAAGGGTTTGGGATCAGGGAGTATTTAGACTGTCTCAGGCTGTTATTGCAGGTTGATATCACTATGCTTGGATAAGATTCCTCACCTTTCCATCGAGCAGATAGGTGGCAGACTGCATTACATTCATCAAAACTCCCACTGGACTCCAGCTAAATTTATATCTCAATGGATTGTTTGAATGTTCAGGGGCTGGAAGCCCACCACAGTAGGAAATATATGATTCAATCTATAAATTAAAGAATCAATAAATAAGGAAGAATTCACAACTTAGAGAATGTCTAAGTAATTAATTGAAGACAATGATATGAATGGAGTAAACTTGCTACAGTTTTTCATTCTTAAAGTTACTAAGGCATTCAAAAATACATCTTCAAAGCATGTACCATTTGATTAAATAACAGTTAATTTTATATATATGTTTTTTTAAAAAAACTGTAAAAATAGTGACTAACATTTTGTTCAGTTAAAAATCCAACTCTTAGTTCAATTCTGCTTAGTCAGTTCCTACTAACTTTTGTATTCAAATTATATATTTACATATATATAATTTTAATACATATATATACACACACATTCAAAAAACCTAAAACAATCTGAATCATCCCATTTACACCCAATAGTACCTCGCCAAAGGTACTATTTCATAAAAGATATTTCATATCAACAGATTGCTGATACCCAAAGATTCTTCTTACTTTTAAAAGTCAAATCTTATTACAGAATCTTCAAGGTAGTCTAAAATTTGTATTAAGCCAAAATTTTATAGTAGCATCTGTTTCTCCAAAAATTGGTTGCTACCTAAGACTTGGACATTGTTTTCCTGTATGGATATTTTTGCAGTTATAAGATATTATTTAAAATTTCTGGGAGGCTGAGGGGGGCAGATGACCTGAGGTCAGGAGTTTGAGACTGGCCTGACCAACATGGAGAAACCCCATCTCTACTAAAAATACAAAATTAGCCGGGCATGGTGGTGCGTGCCTGTAATCCCAGCTACTTGGGAGGCTGAAGCAGGAGTATTACTTGAACCTGGGAGATGGAGGTTGCAGTGAGCCGAGATTGTGCCGTTGCACTCCAGCCTGGGCAACAAGAGCAAAACTCAGTCTCAAAAAAAAAAAATCTTTAACTTTGATTAAAGGTGTTGCTATATTATAACTCATACTTTGATTCTGTACACAAGAATTTAGACATTTTAATGTTGCCTTTGGGTACAAATTGGGCTCACCGTGGCTCCCACTTCCTTGGCTTTATCTATTGTTTCCATTGCTAACATGTGATCCAGACCAGGGTCCAATCCCAATTCACCAATGATTGTGATGCCAGCATCTTCCACACTGCAGCAGGTGGAAAGAGGAAAAAGGAAAACTTGGATATAAAATAAAAACAATGCCATGGATCCACTCAGTTTGTTTAAAATGATTAAAACTTACCTCTTTTCCAATTCTTTTAGTGCTGGTGTGATGTAGCTTGCAGTGACCATGTTAACTTTGTTTGTGATGCAGGCCTTGGCCACAAGAGGGTGCAATACATAAGGCAACAAGCTTGAAAACAGGAAGAAACTAATCAGAAACTCCCTTTTTCAACTCTACTTTCTAAGGTACTTGAACTGTATTAAAGCTGCATCTTAAGGTACTGTTCTGATTAAATTATTCTCTCAGAAAAGGGAACACTTATACACTGTTGGTGGGAATGTAAATTAGTTCAGCTGCTACAGAGGATAGTTCAGAGATTTCTCAAAGAGCTAAAGGTTGAACTATCATTCGACTTAGCAATCGCATTACTGGTTATCTATCCAAAGGAAAATAGATTATTCTACCAAAAAGACACAGGCACTCACATATTCATCACAGCACTATTCGCAATAACAAAGACATGGAATCAATTGACATGCCCATCAATAGTGGGATTGGGGCCAGGTGCTGTGCCTCATGCCTGTAATCCCAGAACTTTGGGAGGCCAAAGACAGGTGAGTCGCTTGGGCCCAGGAGTCGAGACCAGCTTGGACAAGATGGTGAAACATCATCTCTACAACAAATACAAAAATTGGCCCAGCATGTTGGCGCATGCCTGTAGTCCCAGCTACTCCAGAGACTGAAGTGGGAGGATCACTTGAACTCAGGAGGTCAAGGCTGCAGTGAGTTGAGATCACAGCACTGCACACTAGCCTGGGCAATAGAGTGAGACCCTGTCTCAATAAAACAAAACAAAATGAAACAAAAATAAAAAAACAAAAACCGTGAATTGGATTAAAAAATGTAGTACATATACACCATTGAATACTACATAGCCATAAAAAAGAATGAAATAGTGTTCTTTGCAGCAACATGGATGCAACTGGAAACTATTATCTTATGCGACCTAACACAGAAACAGAAAACCAAATACTGCAGGCTCTCACTTACAAGTAAGTGGGAGCTGAACACTGGGTACACATGGAATTAAAGATGGAAACAATAGACACTGAGGACTACAAGAGGGAAGAGATAAGAAGTGGAGCAGGGGCTGAAAAACAACCTACTGGGTACTATGCTTGCTACTTGGTGACAGATTCATTGATACTCCAGACCTCAGAATCACACAATATACCTTTGTAATAAATGTGCACATGTAACCCCTGATTGTAAAATAAAAGTTGAAAGTAAAATAAATAAATATTCCCTTGGAAAGACGTGATCAATGACTCCCTGTGGGCCACAGAATAAATTCACCCTGTTATCACATCTAAATAGCAATACTCTATTCTATTTACCTGTTGAGGAATAAAGGCCTGAGAAGTGGTTTTATTGTTTATTTTGTTTTTTTAATGAACTAGAGAAAATCTGAAGTATGCAGAGTTAATTTGACAAGTACAATGATGTAGTATGATATTGTTTATGTTGGTTTTTATTTTTTTGGTGGTACTGCAGACAGCTTTACCAAATAGTCAGTAAAAAACAACTTAAATATTGTCATGTAATTGACAGGGTATTTTATTATTCCTACAATAGACTATGGATATACTCATTTATATAACACTCATATTTATGAAAATTTGATATCTTGTGATTATGCAGACCCAGCACCAAATTATAATCCCAAAGCCAAAATTGTTGAAAACCCAATCAAAGTTGAGCTTTGAGTACAGCATCATCTGTTGTTCACCCTGTGGATTTTTAGCCATTCTGATACCTTTACACCGATCAACACCATGAAAGCCTATCTCCTCCTTGGGCCCTTCTTGGAGTCTACTCAATAATGTAATACATGGGCCATCTTGACCTAGTTTGACACTTCCTGATAGCCATTTGGAAGATGTGAAGGTAAAAAGAACAGCAGCCCTATTTTAGTGGAAAGCCCACGACAGAAAACCCCAATCCAAATTATACCTGCCTCTTTAAGAAATTTCTAAAGAGTTATTTTCCTCCACAAAGCTTTCCCAGATTTCCCCAAAGCCAGATATCCTTCCTCTGCATGCATCCAGTTATATATTTATAACATTTAATGGAATTTGCTCCATTCATCCCTATATTTCTACAGCTAATGTATTACATTATTGAGTAGACTCCAGGAAGGGTCCACGGAGGAGACAGGCTTTAACGGTGTTGATCAGTGTAAATGCTATCAAAATGGCTAAAAATCCACATGGTGAACAATGGATGATGCTGTACTCAAAGCTCAACTTTGATTCGGTTTTCAACAAATTTGGCTGTGGTATAATAATTTGGCTCTGGGACTGCATAATCAAAAGAAATTAAATTTTCATAAATATGAGTGTTATAAAAATGAGCATATCCATATTCTATTCTAGGAATAATAAAATACTCTGTTAATTACATGATAATATTTAATTTGTTTTTTAATGCCTATTTGGTAAAGCTGTCTACAGTACCAACAAAAAAAAATAAAAACCAACAGAAACAATATTACACTATATCATTGTACTTGTCAAATTCATTCTGCATAGTTCAGATTTTCTCTACTTCATAAAAAAAAAAAAACAATAAAACCACTTTTCAGGCATTTATTCCTCCTCAGGTCAACAGAATAGAGTATTGCTATTTAAATTTATTATAATGCAGAATAAAATTGTGTATGTCTTTTATCAGTATCAAAAGCTCCTGGTCTCTGTGTTTTTGTTTCCTTAAACCAAAAATAATTACTGCTAACAAATTTAGTAGACTTTTGGAAACCACTGAGCAAAATACTCGCAAAACTATTAGAACCAAATATTAATAGAAAATGTGCAATGTCATCATCTTAAAGGTTAAACAGAAATTTTTAAATCACATTCTCCATATTAAACTTGCTCAATCAAAATTTTACTAAGATCTAATAATATTTTAAAACTTTGGCCTTATAATAGGCTGAGAAGTAGAATGATAGGACTTTGCCTGTGGTACTTTTTTAGACGAAGGGATTAGAGTTCATAATTCGTCTCGAATATGATACAGTAAGCACTCAATGGGACATACTCTTAAATTATTTAAGTTGACTCCAACCCAATTACTCCAAAAGGTCGAAAATGTCACTTGTGAAAAATACACACAAAATACATGTGGAATTTTCAAAGAAACTTGAAATCAATTACTACTTTGTATTAAATTAAAAACTAAATTTGAAAAATTATAACTATGAGAATTGTACATATTACTAAACATTTTTTGTGAAACATATTCTTTACTCATTTTTTTGTAGTCCCTATCACTGTGGTTATATCAAAACATTCTTTCCCCAACTTAAAAAATAAAACAATTAGCCAGGCATGGTGGCTTATGCCTGTAATCCTGACACTTTGAGAGGCTGAGGCAAGTAGATTGCTTGAGGAGTTCAAGACCAGCCTGAGCAACATGGTGATATCCCATTGCTACTAAAAATACAAACTTTAGCTAGGCATAGTGGCAAGTGCCTGTAGTCCCAGCTACTTGGGTGGTTGAGGTGGGAGGATCACTTGAGTCTGGGAGGTGAAGGTTGCAGTGAGCCAAGATTGTGCCACTGCATTCCAGCCTGGGTGACAAAATGAGACTGTCTCAAAAAAAAGAAAAAAAAAATTTAAGGAATGTTATAGGATAACATTGTTTAATGGCATTACCATTATTCAGCATAGAAAATACACCAAATGAGAAAACATTAAATATAAAACAGTTTTTGCTAATGCTAAATCCTATTGAAGGCCACTAGTTTGCTAAATTTTAAAATTTGGACATATTAAGAGATTGATGTCTTTGTCCATTATCTTGTCACATTTTATTTCAGATTCTGTTCCAAATGGATTTTATCATGTTATTTTACTTTTAATTAAAAATGATATATTTAGATACCTCTGTGTGGCAAAATAAATTATTGTTCTACTCAGAAGGCTAGATCATTCTATTTTGAATCAGAATTTCTTTTCATGGTAATATCAGAGAGGTTCAGTTGGTCATTAGTCAATTTTTTCTAAATAAAAATTAACGCTCATAACATTTATATAAATTGAGTAACATTTTAAGTGCATAAAGTTAGCCTGTATTTAAAGATATCAAGAGAAATGTAAAAATGCCAGCCTACAGAACTACCTTTCATTATATGTTTTCCAAGCCTGCTTTTTTTTTTTTAAAGCAGAACATCACAGAACTTCCTCCAAAGATACAATTTGAATCTGATCTGTGAAAGTGACTAGGTAATCACTATGAGGGAACAGATAACTTTCTTCTTCTCATCTTGGGAAAATTCTAGGAATGAATGACTATTTTCATCACTTTGACATTTCAAAACCAAATTTATTTATTTATTTATTTATTACTTTTATTTTAGGTTCAGGGGTACATGTGCAGGTTTGTTATACAGGTAAATTGTATGTTATGGGGGTATGGTGTACAGATTATTTCATTATCTAGGTAATAAGCATAGTACCCAATGGGTAGTTTTTCGATCCTCACCCTCCTCCCACCTTTTACCCTTAAGCAGGCCCTGATGTCTGTTGTTCCTTTCTTTGTGTACATATGTACTCAAATATCAAAACCAAATTTAGTTATAAAGTGAATCTCATGTAATTCTGTGTCTAGATGTTAGATCTGCATTTTTGTTAGTAATACTCTATTTCAGGATCTGTTGCTATGATGAGACTTAAAATGGTCATAAGGCTAAATAATCTACTTATTCCATTTAAGCTTTATAACTCCAAAGGATAAAATAGACACTTAAGTATATAAAACATTAATACCTTATGACCTGCAATCCCACTTCTAAGTACATACCCAACAGAAATGTATAATTACTGTTTTAGTGAAATGGTCACTAAAAGACAAATACCGAAATGTGTATAGCAGTGTGACTTATAATAGCCAAAATCCAGAAACAACCTAAATATCTATAGTAGTCAAATAAATAATAATGGTATATTCACATAATGAAATACTATACAGCAATGAGAATGAATAAATTATCATTTCAGACAATAGCACAAATGACTCTTGTAATCACAACATTGAATGGAAGAAGGAAGCCACAAATGAGGATATATTGAATGATTCCAATTATATGAAGTCTGAAAGCAGGCAGAAACTAAATGTCAGAAGCCAGGATAGTGTTTACCCTTAGAGGATGGGGTAAGTGAATAGAAAGAGGCACCAGGAGGGCTTCTGGGGAATTACTGATACTCTTGTTTCCTGACATAAATAATCATCACAGAATGTGTTCACTTTGTGAAAATTCATTGAGCTATATACTTATGATTTGTGCACCTTCTGGACCCATACTTCAATTAAAAACTTTACTCCAAAGGAGTATGAAGAGAGGAGAAGTGAAAGAGAAAGAAAAATGAGAAAAGAAATAACAACAAAAATATGAAACTCATTTCTTGCCAGATACTGACCTGATGACAAGATCCTGTTTTGCCACCAAGAAGCCCAGCTTCTCTTCTTGTTTACAAATGTCCATGCTAACAGGATTAATATTATATTTCTTGCCTAACTGTTCAATTTGATTCTTCATGTCAGATCCTATTTCAGTAATTAAAAGTCACATTTTTAGATATGTCAGAGTAAAATATATTTTAACATCTCCAAAAATAAATTTTCAAATTTCAGAAACAAAGTAGTCTTCTAAAATGTAGAAGTCAACACGCTATAAAATACATTTTTCTTCTTCAAAAATTAGGGCTTATTTACCTACTGTTATTTCTATATTGCCATCTCTTGATAAATATTCTAATACAGGCTCAGATATGTAGCCAGATCCAAGAACCAAAACCTTTCTCCTGGTGCCCATTGAAAGTGACTGAGCACGTTCCCTATTTAAAAAAAAAAAAAAAAAAAAAAAAGGGAAGGGGCTAATTAAAAATTTTTTTTTAAATAACAGAATCTTGCATTCCACAAATCATACTAAAACCTAAATAATGAAGCAACATTTTCTCTTCACATTACTTAAAATAAGAATTTCAACATGAATGAGTTCCCTATAACAACATGTTTCTTTAATTATTTTACATTTTGTACAATGAAGAACAATAGACCTGACATCTCTGAGATATATATCTACAGACGTATAGATGTATTTCATGAATTCCCAGTATTACTAGTGAGGTGCAGATGCTGGACATTTTCTTGGCTTACTTGTGATTGAGTAACTTGGTCTCACATTTTATCCTTCCAGAAGATGTGGTTCAAAATCATACAAGGGGTTTTACCTTGGAAACCTTATTTATTCCTCACAACAATCCCAGAAGACAACAATTTGAGGAAGAGAATATTATTATCCATATTAGAAATTGTTTTGTCATATATCTTTAGAGTCACTTGAAAATAGCAAAACCATGACTTTGAGTCACACATGCCATGGGTTAAATGTAGAAGCTGAAGACTAGTGTTAGGCATTATTTTAATTCTTGAACAGTCTATTCTGCTGGAATTTATATTAATACCTTCCAGGCAGATGACTTTCTGTCTTTCCCACAAACTATGACCTCCAAGGCAGCATCTAAGACTTACCCATCTTTACAAACCCATTAATGCTCAGCACATTTTGTCTTAAATATGGAATTTACTCATTAAATATTTTTTGAATCAAATTCCCTGTTATCAACATGAAACCATAGAAATGGCCTAGTGCCAGGGACTGAAGTAGGCTCTGTTATTTAGAATCTTTAGGCCATAATGTCTCTTGAACATTAACCCAAAAAACTTTTCATTAATTTTTAACAAATAAAAATAAATATAAGTATAAAAAATTCCTGTCCTTCTGTATCCCAACACACATATTACTGATGTGAAGAGGTCTCATTTAACTACTACCATCTCCCATTTCACCTTCCAGAGAGAACCACTATTATTCGGTTATTATATTTTCTGTCTAACAATATTTTCTATAGTTTGTATAATTAAAACATTCCAAATACCAAATGCTCAAAACAGAAACTCACTCCTAGATTCTAATACTGTCCAGCCCATCAGTACCCCCAAACCCCAGACTCCAGGTTAATAATCACGTGCTAAGTGATGAAAAGAAGAGAAGAATAAGGCAGGGTTCAATATAAAGTAAATTTCCTTTCAAAATGCAACCTTTGTTATCAGTATCTTGGCACAAGTTTCCATCAGGAAAGAGGGCAGCAAGTTCTAGCAATCGGAGCCAAGTAAACCTGCTGCTTCATGAAATATGACACATAAGAGAGAAGATATCATCTTGACCAGTCATGTTAGACATGTCACTAGTTTCAGTAGTGTAAAAGACCATCGGATGATGAGAACCAAAACATAGAGCTATGAAAAACAAACAGATGTGAAGTTTTACTTGTAAGAAACTCTCCTACAGGGTTATAGAGCTAGCTTCTCTTATTCACAAAGAAAAAAAGTAAATACTTAGTGTCTTATGCCAGTATATTTCACTGACACATTAAAAAGTAACTATAATCAAACCAGCACATATGGAAAAGCCTAACTATAGTACGCTTGATCTGGGCAGATCTCTTTGTTTACTGCTTGTAGTAGAACCACTGAAAAAGAAGATAAAACAGTTGTGTTATTTTTTTTTCCAACTCTGGTTTCTCCTGATACTTCAGTACATGGGTTCCTTTTTTAATGTGAAAAGACCAGCAGAGTAGATATAAACACAGATCAAGGGCAATTGGCTGGAGGAGACCAGAATATTCCAAAAAAATAAAATCAATGTTTTCAAACTTTAAGTAGTAAAATCAATTAAGGAAACAAGGGCCTTAGCTAAAGACCTTTCTAAAGTAACTATTCTCTTGAGTAGATTTGCTACATTACTTTTTGGCACCTTCCCCCTAATAAGAATCCCTGGAGAAAACTACCTCTTACTTTCATCAATTGTTTATTCACAACTCTCTTAATTTGTAACCACGAATTCACTTCCCTGAACATTATACTAAACAAAAGAGAGTCCAAATCCTCAACTAAAACCCAAACTGAAAGCACCACAGAAAGGCTAGTGTGCTCATTTTCCTTTGAGAAAATAACCGAGGCATGATCATGTATCAAAAGCTAGAGAAAAACAAGAAGCTACCTGAAGGACAATCCTTTTGGATTTTTGCTTGCTTACCCATACGTCTACACAGGCTATTAGAAAGCCAAAATGACGCTATACTACTGTTAAGTGGGAAACAGTCACAGTGGTTTCAGCCAGCCACTTAGTTTGGATTTCCTACATTTTCAAACATTATCAAAATTTATATAGTGTACAAACCTAATATTAAGAACTCCCATTGAAGCATTAAAAAATACTCATGAATTCCAAGATAAGAATAAATGTATAAAACAAGAGGATTTGAACAATACTTACCTGCTCTCCCGGAGTGTCTGGATATATTTATATTTATCAGGTAATGTACCGTTGGATGTAATCACTGCCTAAATGTATATGACACAAGACATTTCTTTAGTATCCACATTTTAGTCCTACAAACAAGGTGTCATGACTGATAGAGAAAAGACAGAATGACAAAGATGGAGAGAGAGAGAAACAGAGAGAAGAGAGCAAAAATGGTAGTAAAAAAATACATTTATGAAAAAATATTCTGCTCATAACTTACATCTCTCACCACAGGAGAAAAATTCTGACTTTCAAGAGGCTGTGTCGCGTCTGATAATATCTGAAAGGAAAATGAGATTTGTAAGAGATAAATGACACTGCAAAGAAGGCCTCTTGGTGTTTGTATCCATATTAAAATATTAATCAAGGGAAAAAAATAATTTAAGAAACAGTTTTCTGAGGATCACCGAGTATAAGTGATTGCTAATAGAAGTCTTCTACAAGCAATCAACTCTGCCCACAAGACTATGGTGTTTCAGCACAAGTCCCAATTTTAAAACTAAAATTGGATTATAATCATCTTTGCTTGCTGTGAACACAAAAAAGCTTATCCTTTCCAACCAGTTAAATGTATCATATTAAGCATGTTGTCAAATATCTTCACAAGCTTTATAGCTATAGTCCTCCCTTCAAGGGCCTCTACTCCATTCCAAAAGTTCAAGCTGTTCTATTAGGAATAGAGAATGAGGTTTTCCACTCAGCAAGGCCACCAACCCTGCAGTAAGGGGTCTCCCTCAGATCAGTATCAGTATTAGTAGTTATATGTATAGGTACATCAGCATTTCAAAGGTGGTAGCAAAAGTGACTTGACTGAGTAGACCTAGAAAGTCATTCACACCCTCTTCACATTATCTTGCAAAATTGAGTCAGAGACAACAAAAAAAGTAAGATGTCTCATGTTAACATTTCAGCAACCTTCTAGTCCTCCTCTTTTCTCCCAAGGAACCCAACTCTTGAATATACTGCCAAGAAGTAATGGGCATGTAAGTTAGTCCTTCTCAAAGAACCCAATTCTTGAATATACTGCCAAGAAGTAATGGCATATAAGTTAGCATTGCTGTTTCTGGTGGACAGGGAAGAGCCAATGAGACAATCTTTCCTCCCTAACTATAGGTTAAGATCTAGCTCTCTCACCCAACTAAGAACAAGAAAAATGTTCCTAGAAGGTGCTGGTAACAGAGAATTTATTTACTGTATTAAAATAAATAGAAAATGGTTTTCATGTATCTAAAATAAATGGTAATTTGAAAAAGGTCAGTTCTCCAAAGGACTGAAACCTAGATTTAAATTACTTCATCCTAACTGAATTTAGGTGAATTTCTCCTAACCTTTACCCTTGTCTATCTCACTGCCCAAAACAAAGAATATATTATCTGGAGGAAAATCACACAACATCCAGAGCCTCGAGTCATCTCTAAAATTTTGAATACGCAATGTCTGGCATTAAACCAAAAATAAATAAATATATTGAAAGGTAAGAATTTACTGAAAACCATAAAAACCAAGGAAAAAAACAGGGAACATAAATAGAACCAAGAAGTGTAATGGAATTAACAAAAATGATTCTAAATTGTGATTAATATGTTCAAAAAATAAAAGGACAATATAGATAACTTTTTTAAAAAATGTAAAACTTTAAAATTAGTGAATATAAGTTTTTGATAAATGAAAAATAACATGTTTCAAGCCTTGGAAGACAGATGAACATCCAAATATATGAAGCTCAACAATCTCCAAACAGAGTTAACCCAAAGAGGTCCCTTTATAATTACTGTCAAAAACCAAAGACAAATGATATTAAAAGCAGCAAGATAAAAATATCATGTTACATATAAGGGAATCTCCATTAGACTATCAGCAGATTTCTCAGTAGAAATCCTGCAGGCCAGGAGAGAATGGGATGATATATTCAAAGTGCTGATGCACAGAAACCTGCCAGCCAAAAATACTATACACAGCAAAGCTGTCCTTCAGAAAAAAAGAAGAAATAAACTCTTTCCCAGACAAGCAAAAGTTTAGGGAATTCTTCACCACTAGAGCTGCTCTATAAGAAATGCTTAAGGGAGTTTTTCAAGTAGAAAAAAAGAACATTACTAACATGAAAACATAAAAAGTAAAAAAATCCACTGATAAAGGTAGATATATATTCAAATCCAGAATACCCTGATACTACTATGGCACTCTGCAAAACATAGGTATATATAACTCTAGGATGGAAGTTAAAATTCAAAACAGTCAAAAATAATGATAGCTACAATAAAGTATTAAGAAATATGTAAGCTAAAAAGATGAAAATTGTGACATCAAAAAATATTAACTGGTTGCACCCAACTCAGAAAGGTAAAAAAGAAATATGAATATATGTACATATACATATATATGTGTGTATATATACTATATATACTATACACACACACACACGCTGGTGGGAGGGTAGAATTCTACAGTTTTTGTATGCAACTGAATTTAAGTTGTTATTAGTATAAAATAGTCTATTATAACTATAAGACATTTTATGTAAGCCTTGTGGTAACCACAAAGCAGAATACTAAAGCAGATATACAAATGATAAAGATAAAAGAATACAAATTTAGCACTAAAGGAAATCACTAAATCACAAAGATAAACAGGAGAGGAAAAAAAGAACAAATAAGCTATAAAGCAATCAGAAAACATTTAACAAAATGGCAGTAGTAAGTCCTTGGCATATCAATAATTACTCTGAATGTAAACAGATTAAATTGTTCAATTAAAACACAGAGTGGCTGAATGGATTAAAAAAACAAAGCTCTACTATTCACAATAGCAAAGTTATGGAACCAATCTAGATACCCATCAGTGGTGAATTGGATAAAGAAAATGTGGTATATATACACCATGGAATACTATGCAGCCATAAAAAAGAATGAAATTGGCCAGGCACAGTGGCTCACACCTGTAATCCCAGCACTTTGAGAGGCCAAGGTGAGCAGATCACCTGATGTCAGAAGTTCAAGACCACCCTGGCCAACATGGTGAAACCCTGTCTCTACTAAAAATACAAACATTAGCCAGGCTTGGTGGTGGGCACCTGTAATCCCATCTACTGGGGAAGCTGAGGCAGGAGAATTGCTTGAACCCAGGAGGCAGAGGTTTGTGAAATGAGATGGTGCCACTACACCAGCCTAGGTGACAGAGCAAGACTGCCTCAAAAATAAACAAACAATGAAACTACGTCCTTTGCAGCAATCTGGATGCAGATGAAGGCCATTATCCTAAGCAAATTAATGTAGGAACAGAAAACCAAATACCACATGTTCTCAGTTATAAGTGGGAGCTAAACACTGAGTACACATGGACACAAAGAAGGGAACAATAGAAACCAGGGTATACTTGAGGGTGGAGGATGGGAGGAGGGTGAAGACTGAAAAACTACCTATCAGGTACTATGCTCACTACTTTAGTGACGAATTCATTTGTGCTCCAAACCCCAGTGACATGCAATTTACTCATGTAATAAAACTGCACATGTACCCCCGAACCTAAAATAAAAGTTGCAAAGAGAAAAAAAAAATAAGCTCTCACTATATGCTGCACACAAGAGACACACTTTCACCTTAAGAATGCACATAGGCTTTCATCCCTCAAAGGGGATGAAAGAAGATATTCCTTGCAAATAATACCAACAGAGGACAGGGACAATACTTATTCTAGATAGAAAAAACTTAACACAAAAATTTTCACAAGAGACAAAGAAAGTCATTATTAAAGAGCTCAAGTCATTAAGAAGTCATAGCAATTGTAAATACATGTGCACTCAACATTGGAACACCTAAACATATAAAGCAAATATTAATTAATCAACATGAAGGTAAAAAATAGATACCAAAACAATAATAGTAGGAGACTTCAATACCCCTCTTTCAAAGATGGAAAGATCAACCAGAAAGAAATTAATAAGAAAATACTGGAATTGATCTGTGCTTTAGACAAAATGGACCTAATAGATAAATATAGAACTTTTTATCCAGTAGCACCAGTGTACGCATTCTTCTCTAGTACATATAGAATGCTCTCCAGAATAGACCATATGGTAGGCCACAAAATATGTCTTAACAAATTCAAAAAAATTGAAATCATATTAAGTATTGTTTCTGATCACAGTGGTATGAAGCTAGAAATCAATAACAAGAGAAACTTTGGAAACTACAAACACATGCAAATTAAACAACATAATCCTCATCAATCAAGGAGTCAATAGAGAAACTAAAAGGGAAATTTAAAAATTTCTAGAGACAAATGAAAATGAAAACACAACCTACCAAAACCTATGGGATACAGCAAAAGCAGTACTCAGAAGGAAGTTTATAGCAATTTTGAAATGCCTATTTCAAAAAAGAACAAAGATCTCAGATAACCCAATGTTGCACCTCAAGGACCAAGAAAAACAGGAACAAACTGAACCCAAAATTAGTAGACACAAAGAAATAATGATGGTTAGAGAAGACATAAACAAAATAGAGACTTAAAAAATATAAAAGATCAATGAAACAAAGAGTTTGTTTGAAAAGGTAAACAAAATCAACAAACCCTGTGTCTGCCTAAGGAGAAAAGACTCAAATGAATAAAATTTTAGATGACTGTTGTTGGTGTGTTGAAATGCTAGTGATTTTTGTATGTTGATTTTGTATCCTGAAACTTTGCTGAAATTGTTTATCAGCTTAATTTTTGGGCTAAGACTAGGGGGTTGTCTAGATATAGAATCATGTCATCTGCAAAAAGGGATAATTTGACTTCCTCTCTTCCTATTTGAATGCTTTTTATTTCTTTCTCTTGCCTGATTGTTCTGGCCAGGACTTCCAATACTATGTTGGATGCAAGTGGTAAAAGAGGGCATCCTTGTTGCCAGTTTTCAAGGGGAATCAATGTTATTAAAATGGCCATACTGCCCAAAGCAATTTATAGATTCAATGCTATTCTTATCAAATTACCCATGACATTCTTCATAGAACTAGAAAGAAACTATTTTAAAATTCATATGGAACCAAAAAGAAGCAGAATAGCCAAGGCAATCCTAAACAAAAAAAAACAGAGCTGGAGGTATCATGCTACCTGACTTCAAACTATATTACAGGGCTACAGTAACCAAAACAGCATAAGACTCGTACAAAACCAGACACAAAGACCAATAAAACAGAATAGAGAGCTCAAAAATAAGGCCACACATCTTCAACCATCTGATCTTCAACAAAGCTGACAAAAACAAACAATGAGGAAAGGACTCCCTGTTTAATAAATGGTGCTGGGATAACTGGCTAGCTATATGCAGAAGATTAAAACTGGATCACTTCCTTACAGCATATAAAATGGTGTAAATCAACTCAAAGTGGATTAAAGAATGAAATGTAAAACCCAAAATTATAAAAACCCTGGAAGATGATCTAGGCAAAACCATTCTGGACATGGGAACTAGCAAAGATTTCATGATGAAGACACCAAAAACAAATGCAACAAATGGGATCTAATTAAACTAAGGGGGTTTTGCACAGCAAAAGAAACTATGAACAGAGTAAACAATCTACAGAATGGGAGAAAATATTTGCAAACTATGCATCTGACAAAAGTCTAATATCTAGCTTCTATAAAAACTTAAATTTACAAGAAAAAACAAACAACCCCATTAAAAGCTGGGCAAAGGACATGAACAGACACTTTTCAATTGAAGACATACATGCAGTCAACAAGCATATGAAAACAAATTCAACATCACTGATAATTAAAGAAATGCAAATCAAAACCACAATGAGATACCGTCTCACACTAGTCAGAATGGATATTACTAAAAGGTCAAAACATAACAGATGCTGGTGAGGTTGTGGAGAAAAACGAATGCTTATACACTGTTGGTGGGAGTAAAAATCAGTTCAACCATTGTGGAAAGCAGTGTGGCAATTCCTCAAAGAGCTAAAAACAGAACTACTCTTCAACCCAGCAATCCATTACTGGGTAATATACCCAAAGGAATATAAAATGTTCTATCATAAGGACACATACACATGCACATGCTGTTGTAAAGAGTGCTCATTGGAGCGCTATTGTAAATAGCAGAGACATGGACTCAACCTAAATGCCTATAAATGATAGACTGTATAAAGAACATGTGGTACACCATGGAATACTATGAAGCCATAAAAAAGAATGAGATCATGTCTTTTGCAGGAACATGGATAGAGCTAGAAGCCATTATCCTTAGCAAATTAATGCAGGAACAGAAAACCAAATACTGCATGCTCTCCCTTATAAGCAGGAGCTAAATGATGAGGACACATAGACACATAGAGGGGAACAACACACACTGGGGCCTTCCTGAGGGAGAAGGGAGAGGAGCACAAAAAATGACTATTGGGTAGTAGGCTTAATACCCTGGTGATGAAATAATCTGCACATCCACCCCTCGTGACACAAGTTTACCTATAGAACAAACCTGCACATGTACCCCTGAACCTAAAAGTTTTTTTTAAGTATGTATTAGCTTCTGCAACATTATTGCATAACAAATCACCCACAACTCAAAAAAAAAAAAAAAAACACAGATGAAAAAGGAGACATTACAACTTATACCACAGAAATACAAAGGATCATAAGAGAGCATTATGAACAATGATATGCCAAAAACTTGGAAAACCTAGAAGAAATGAACAAATTCCTGGACACATACAACCTACCAAGATTGAACCAGAAAAAAATAAACAATCTGAATAGGCGAATCGATAACAAGCAGCAAGATTGAATCAGTAATAAAAAGTCTCCCATCAAAGACTAGCCCAGGGCCTGATGGTTTCACTACTGAACTCTACCAAACATTTAAAGAAGATTTAATACCAATTCTTCTCAAACTATTCCAGAATATCAAGGAGGAGGGAATTCTTCCAAACTAATTCTATAAGGCCAGTGTTATTGTGATACCAAAATCAGACAAGGACGTAACAAAAAAAGTAAACTTCAGGCCAATATCCCTGAAGAACATAGATACAAAAATTTTCAACAAAATACTAGAAAACCAAATTTAACAGCATATTTACAAGAGCATTCACCATAATAAATGGGATTCATTCCAGGGGTGCAAGAATGGTTCAACATATGCAAATTAATAAACATAATTTATCACATTGACAGAATGAAGGACAAAAACCATATGATTATTCCAACAGAAACAGAAAAAAATATTTGACAAATTCAACATCACCTTATGATAAAAACTTTCATCAAATTTGGCATACAGGGTACATACCTCAACATAATAAAAGCCATATTTGACAGACCCACAGCTAACATCATACTGATCATGGAAAATTGAAAGCTTTTTCTCTAAGATATGGAACAAGAAAAGGATGCTACTATTCAACATAGTACTGGATGTTCTAGTCAGTGTAACTAGGCAAAAAAAAAGAAAACAAAGGTACCCAAATTGGAAAGCAGGAAGTCAAATTGTCCTTGTTTGAAGATGACGAAATCTTATATATAGAAAACCCTAAAGACTCCATCAAAACACTGTTGGAACTGATAAATTTAGTAAAATTGCAGAATGCAAAATCAACATACAAAAATTAGTAGCATTTCTATATGCCAACTGTGAACAATCTGAAAAAAAATCCCATTTCCAATAGCCACAGCAAAAATAAGATGCATAAGAATAAATTTAACCAAGGAAATGAAAGATCTCTATACTAAAAACTGTAAAACATTGATGAAAGACATTGAAGAAAACAAAAACAAATGTAAAGATATTCCCATGTTCATGGAATGGAAGAATTTATATTGTTAAAATGCCCATACTACCCAAAGCAATCTACCAATTCAGGGCAATCCTTACCAAAAAAAAAAAAAAAATGATAATCTTCACAGAAATAGAAAAGACAATCCTAAAACTAGTATGAAATCACAAAAGACCCCAAATCGTCACACAATATTTAGCAAAAAGAACGAAGCTGGAGGCATCACACTACCTGACTTCAAAATATACTACAAAGCTATAGTAACCAAAACAGCATGGTACTGGCATAACAGCAGACACATAAACCAATGGAACAGAAAAGCAAGCCCAGAAAGAAATCCATGCATCTATATCCACCAGTTTTGGAGAAAAGTGTCAAGAACAAACATTAAGGGAAGAAGAGTCTCTTCAATAAATGGTGCTGGGAAAATTGGATATCTACATTCAGAAGAATAAAACTAGACCCCCTATTTCTCATCATATAAACAAATCAACTCAAAATGGATTAAACACTTAAATGGAAGACCTAAAACTATGAAACTACTAGAAGAAAAAAAAAACACAGGGGAAATGCTTCATTACATTGACCTGGTTAAGAATTTTTTGGATAAGAACTCAAAAGCACAAGCACAAAACCCAAAAACAGACAAATGGAATTACATCAAACTAAAAAGCTTCTGCACAGCAAAACAAACAAACAAAAGATCAATTGAGTGAAGAAACAACAGAATGGGAAAAAGTATTTGCAAACTATACGTCTCACAAGGAAGTAATACTCAGAATATACAAGAAAGTCAAAGAACAAAACAAGAGATAATACAATCAAAAATGGGCTGTACTCAAAGTAAATCTAATGGCTTTAAAATGCACATATTGCTAAAGAGAAACACAGGAAAACAATTACCTAAGCACTTATTGCAAGAAGTTATGAAAAGAAAGGTTAACTAAGCTCTCAATAAAGTAAAATAAAGAATATAGTATAGGTAAGATTATAAATTAAGAAAACAGAAAATGATATAAAATAGAGATGATCACCAAAGTTGAACTGATTTTTTGCGATGACTAATAAAATTGATCAAGTCCAGGTAAAACAGATTAAGAAAAAACAGAAGGCATACCCAACCAACATCAGGAAAAAGAGAAATCACTACAGAATCTATTAAAGAGTTAATAAGGTTATTACTAAAAAAAAAATGACAATAAAGTTTACAACTTAGATGAAATATAAATTCCTAGAAAATAAGCATACCAAAATTGACAAAGAAAAATAAAAATCTGAACATTC
Organism: Homo sapiens; assembly: GCF_000001405.40. NCBI lineage: Eukaryota > Metazoa > Chordata > Mammalia > Primates > Hominidae > Homo > Homo sapiens. Next base: position 122,110,439 of record NC_000007.14, read on the forward strand.
TTAAGTTTTTAAATAAAATGTAATCTATAATTTTAAAACTTACCCTTAAAACTAAAAAAAGAAACAAACAAAAATGCTACCAACCCAAATAGTTTTGCTAATGAATTGTATCAAGTAGAACTAACACTAATCTCATGTAAAATGTTCCTGAGACCAAAAATAAGGAAATACTCTCTAACTTGTTTTCAAGCCAACATAAACTTAATATCCAAACCTGACAAAGACCTTATAATAAAATAAAGTTATAGATTAAGCTCTCTAATGAACATAGATGTTAATAATCCTAAACAAGATAAATCTATGTGCAAACTCAACAAAATAATGTGGAGATATATATATATATATATCTCCACAACCCCAAATGTCTACCAATGGTAAAATAGATTAATAAATGTTGGTATATTTCTTAGCAACCAGAACTTAGTCATAAATAAAAGGTTAACATACAACCAAGTTGGATTTATCCTAAGACTGTGAAGTTAGTTTGATATTTGAAAACCAATTGACACAATTCACATATTAACAGAGAAAAGGAAAAAATGATCTTCTCAATGAATACAGAAAATGCATTTGATACATGTACATAATATCCACATCATCCAGGCCATAATCCAGAATTATTCAGTCTATGAAAACCAGAAGACTATGACCAATTCTCAAAGGAAAAGACAATCAATAAAGTTCAACCACAAATTGACCCAGAAAGTTGGAAGTATGAGATGAACATTGTAAAGTGGTTTTTATAACTATGTTCCATGCAATAACGAAAAATACACTCATAATTAATGAAAAGATAGAAACTCTCTGCAGAAAAAGAGAAAATACCAAAACAAAATTTTTAAAAAAGAACCCAATGGAAATTCTAGAACTGAAAATAGAACATCGGAAATTAAAAATGCACAGAAATGTCTGATTAGCAGAATAGAGAATATGAAGACATTTTCAGATAAAGGACAACTAAGAGAATCTGTCATCAGCAAACCTGTACTGTAAGAAGTGATAAATTAAGTTATTCAGTCTGCAGGGAAATGATGCCAAAGGGAAATGAATGAAGAACATCAAAAATGGTAAACACCTTGGTAAATATATTATTGTATTTTTTATATACATACAGTTTGGCCACTTAAACATTTACCATTATAAAATTTTAGAAGTAGAGAAACTGTTAAGATTATGTATTCGTGGCTGGGCGCGGTGGCTCACGCCTGTAATACCAGCACTTTGGGAGGCCGAGGCGGGTGGATCACGAGGTCAGGAGTTCAAGACCAGCCTGGCCAACATGGTGAAACCCCATCTCTACTAAAAACTACAAAAATTAGCCAGGCGTGGTGGCACACACCTGTGGTCCTGGCTACTCGGGAGGCTGAGGCAGGAAGAATCGCTTGAACCTGGGAGGTGGAGGTTGCAGTGAGCCGCAATTGCATCACTGCACTCCAGCCTGGGCAACAGGGCGAGAATCTGTCTCAAAAAAATAAAATAAAATAAAATAAGATTATGTATTCATTACAACCACCTCATGTTACAGATGAAATATCTGAGGCTCAGAAAGGAAGTGAGTGCCCTGCTCAAGGTTATAAAGCAAGTTGATATCTCCAGCAAAGCCTGGCATTTGTACTCTCCTTCTCCTGCTTCTTTAATGCCTCAGCACCAACTCCAGACACATTGCAGATCCAGCACTGACTGTATCAGCAACACGTCCTTAACTTCTCTGTATTTGTTTTATAATGGATTTAATGATGGTAAAATGGATTTAATGATGGTATTTACCTAATACGGTTTTCATGAGTACTTAAAATTAAAATATATTTAGTACTTTGAACACTTCCTGCACCTAGTAGGTGCAATATCATGTCTAACCATGACAGTGCCTGCTGCCTGCATTTTCTCAAGCCTGCTACATCTCCCTGTTGACATATTCCAATAGGAAAAAGAAAGGGTCAAAATGGAATACTATTTGAAAGAAAAGAGGATCACAGACTGGAAATTTCATTTATTCTTGCCCCACTAACTATTGTTCTATTTTAGTGTAAGAGCTTATGAGGGAAGATATAGATGAAAAGAGTAAGAGCCATTCTTTATATTGGAATCATTGGCAGAGGCAGACAGTCTGAAATAAAAATAAAGCAGGAAGGCTATGAATGCTTAGGATAAAAACTGAAATAAGAAAAATTTTCTTTGATAAAGAAAATGGAATTTAGATAACATGGTATTTCATTAGCTAATCAATGATCACAGAAGAAAAATACATGACCTCAACATAAGCTGTCACTTAACTATTAGTGACCAGAACCCAATAAAAATGTTCTATATTTCTAATTTTTCAGACCTGGTTATTACGGCACAATAAGAGTGCCCCAATATGAACTGACATAGATGGCAAAAAATTAAAAATAAAGCATGTTTTATCTCACACGTGGTGAACATTCTTAATAAAAGACCTATAATGGGAAAGAGATGTAATTGTAATTAAGCATGAAGGCAGTGATATCATCCTATACCCCAAGAGACAAGTAAGCAGAATATGTCAAATAAAATAGTATCAGTAAGTATTTCAGGGAAGGGCTGGCATTTCATTTTACAGCAGATTTCTTAGATACAGAAGACCAGAACATTCACAGAATTACTCAATTATTCAATTTAAAGCCACAGAGTTGTTACTGATATTACCAGTCTGCTTACCATTTCTTCAACATAAGGGTAAAGCATGTCTCCAAAGCATTCTGTAGCTTCAATTGGGAGCTGTGCCGGCAAATTGTCAATGGAACACATCAGGATCCCCGAGCCTTCAACACTAAAAGCAGCAATGTGGTTTATTCAGAAGCACAAAACATTATTTGTAAGTTCTGACTTTTCCAGATGTCTACTCCACTATATTTGCTTCATTATCATTTGTAATTTTGTATAAAAGTATACGCGAAAATAAACAAAACTTTTCAAACAAAACGTTTTCCTTCTTCAGCAACCCATCTCACATTTAAATATATTTGTGTATGTGTGTGTGTTCAAATGTGCATGTTTTTTTCCCCAAATTTTAGTATGTTTGAGTATATCTCTCCAAATTTTCATAACTTCATAAAGATGTAAAATACTGAGAATTTTAGAGTAGTATATCAATGTAACTAAGTGAGGAATATCATCTAACAACTTTAGCAAACTCACCTGTCATGAATAATATGCTGGTCTGCATCATACATGCAAAAGGGATGCTCTATTGTTGTACACTCAGTCATAAACTCTATAGACCCTCCTGTGTCAGCTGAAATGTCACATATTGCCACGAGTCTGAAAATAACATCAATACTTAGATGAGAGGATGAAATTCTGAAGTCTCCAACAAGACTAAAAAAAAAGGAGTTTGGAACAATTTTCAATGTGGATCCCAAATATTTTCCAGGCTTTTGGGGTCTTTTTCCTATAGCTCATTCTTCAGGACTCTGCACTGTTCTGTGATACAGAGAATCTTCCCAGTATGAATTTTAGTCTCCAAAAAAAAAAAAAAAAAGAAAGAAAGAAAGAAAAGAAAAAAGGAAACAAACGCAGAAAATTGCTTTCCTAGAGAAATCATTAACAGACTAAAGTTAACATAGTTATCTCTAAATAACTCAGAAAGGTTCAATTATGCTACCTCCACCCTGCTTAGTACTGTATAGTTTTACATGTGGTTACACATAAATCTCTAGAATTACGAACAAAAGTTTCAGTCCAGCATTCAAAAAGTTGACTACAATTTTTCTGCCCAATCTCCAATTACCACTTGCATACATGAACCAATGTAGAGCTAGACTGACACATTCAGCACCCTAAATATGCTTTGGTAGCTCCATATTTATTAAGCACCAATCCTTTCACTTGGAATTCTTGTTCTCCTCATTCCTCCCTTTAAGGTTTGCTGCGCCCAATGCTTCTGCTTTCTTCTAAACCCTGGTGATGTTGTTGCTCCTAGCATTCCCTTGGCATTTACTTGATGCCAGTTACATGCCTAGAAAAGCAGACATATCTTTTACTCTTCCACAAATATTAATTAATTAATTCAATATTTAATAATTATTTCAATGCCTATTATATATCAGGCAACGTACTAGGTGCTTGTGGCCAAGAGAAAGAGACCCCCTATCCTCAAGGAGATTAAGTTCTAGGAAGAGGGAGAAAAATCATAAACACGAGAAAATAAATGAGGAATTTCAAAACAAAAAACAGAGTAACAGACTAGAGATAGAGATGAGAATGGAGAAACAAGAGAAGACTTCTCTGAGCAAATAGCTTCAGAGCTGCATGGGGCATCACAGAAGACAAAAGAAGAATGTTTCAAGAAGTGGAGGTGGGCTGGGCATGGTGGCTCATGCCTATAATCCCAGTACCTTGGGAAGCCAAGGCAGGAGGTCTGCTTGGGGTCCAGAGATTTAGACCAGCCTGGGAAACATAACAAGACCCCATCTCTAAAGATAAATATATACAATAAAATTTTAAAAAAAAAAGGAGAGATGGTTAACAGTGTTGAGTACTGCCAAGAGGTCAAGAAAGATAAGGCAGAGAAGTAGTCATTAGAAATCAAGTCCTCTGATATGTGATATTTGATCCTCTAATAATGGAAGCAGCTGGTCAAAACTACTATCGTTGCTGAAGTAGAGTCCTTACTTGTGTGGTAATGCAGGGCAGCCTTCCACACCAGCAGGTGAGAACTTGCCCGGAGCCAGGAGACTCTGAGCATCTTGGCGGGTTAGGAGGCGAGGAGTGTTTTGTTCCCAGTAGATTCCATTAATTAAGCAAGTTGTATAGGGTGCAATCTGTAATGCAAGTTCCAGGTTCAAGAAAATAGAAAATAGCCTATTTTAATACAGTATACTGAAAGAAAGCTATCAGTAAATTCTATGAGAAATAATTAAATGTAACTTCTAATTGATTTTCTTATTGTCCATGTCAGTGTCCATCTTTTGAGGCAAAGATATTAAATAGCCACCCAGATTTCAGTATAGAATTACCCTATGATAGAGAAATATATGACTATAAATACATTAGTGTGTTCATTCTATAATGTATTGCATGCCGAAGAAAAATGAAAGGACAAAAACAAAACAAACAAAAAACGGTGGACCTAAAATTATATTTCCAGCTCTAATATCAGTAGGGTATGACCTAAATCATGCTACCTCAACTTCCCTGGGCTCTATTTTTCTTACTTGCCAGATGGGGATAATACGCACCCCATTCCTCAAAGGAATGCTGTGAAGATTAAATCGGATAACATCTGTAAGCTCTATGGAGCAATGTGCTACATACATGCATACATGGCAACTAGGTCAGTATCAGTTTTAGGATGCATCCAATCACCAATACTTCTGTGATTGGGGAAATGAGAAGGAATAAAGATTTCTTAGATTCCAAATTTTTCAGTTTGAAACTATGTTCATAATTTTTCTTCTTCAAACATCTCAAGCTGAAGGTAAGAATTCTTTTCCCTAACATGCCCTGCACGATATAAGGGCTAAACTTCATACCAGAATCTGAAAATGTTATGTTGGTCAAACATATTTAAAATTATTTAAAGCATTCTTTTTCACAATAAATGCATGCATTTTTTGTTTTATGTATTTTTTGGTTTGTTAGTTTATCTGGGGGAAGAATGTTGCATGGCCAATGACTATAGAGCACACAAATATATTTTATTTCTTATAAGATGTGTGTCGCATCGAAGGATTTGATTTGTAAGTGTAATAGCTTTTTCATTCAGTGGGGATGGTCTGCACTTATATAGGAACGCTATTTAACCCTCACCCTGATAATCAATGGCATGCATTTCAAGATTGCTGGCTGAGATTATGGTTGCAATTTGCGGCCATGTTGAGACCAAACGTCATAGGCATTATGCTCTGCCCACAGTGCTAACTAGTCCAGGATAAATACAGAAAACAGTAACGCACAGGAAATGGCTTAGCGCTATTGGGCACATGTAGACCTGAAGCAGAAATGGAGACAGTGAAACAAAGAGTGTATCCACAGAAACCACCAAAAGCACTAAGCGAGACTACTCCAAATACCATAAAAGATGATAGCTCCAAAGGCCAAATCATGATACCCAAAGGACTCACAACAGGAAAACTGAAAGCCATTGTACAATTCATAATTTCTCTCCTTGAAAATAGCCTACCTACACTGTATCATAAGCAACCAACTTAAAAGGTGAATATGATACTCACATCAGTATTAAAACGACTTATGTAGCGCTCCGGATGTTTGTCATACTCTGCAGGATCATACACAGCATCTGTTTTCCTGACAAGATGATGATGACGACTTAACACCGTCCCATACACTTTTCTGAGGTCTTGAAAAGGAGAAAGAAATTAGTAAAGTGGGTGACAAATAATAAAAATTTATGGTGATAAAATATTATAACATAGACTGTTAAAAACATTAAAAGTTAGTCATCTCCTGTCCCTTACCTCCAGTTTGGGAAACTTCTTTTAATTCATGGGGCTCCACATATTCACAAGGTAGCTCATTAAAGATTGCTTGGGCTCCCTACAAATAACACATGAGTAAAAATCCAAAAATCAATAGAAAAAGAACCAACATGGTTTTCTGCAAAGATCTGATCATTTTCCCAACAATTACATAGCTCCACTTGCCTTCCCTACAACCAGGACTGCAACACAGAAATACAGATGAGTTGCTTACAACCAGCCTGCTAGCTAGCTTTTATTCCTGTTAGAACAGCACACTTAGAAAGGGCTTTAATTTTTTTCTTTTTTACTTAAGCTACTCAGAGTATCGATAAGAGTGTTTAGAAATGAGGGAAAAATATTTCCATTTATTTTAGATCCATTGCAGAAATTATTTCAAATGGGGAAATTATATTTCCTACAAAAGAAATAATCAGATGCTTACCTCACAATATAATAAGAATGATATCCTATTTGTAAAATATTTTCTTTGAAGCAGGAATTATTTTACAATGACAAGTTTCTATAGGAGATTACAAACACATTCTTAAAACCACCAGAGAAGGAAGAAAGCATGAATTCCAGTCTTAAATGAATCTTCCTAACATCTTGTTTGCAAAACTCCAAGTAGTCTTAAAAAATGGTTATCGTGAGGTCACTTTCAAACTCGTGGACATTTTGGTGATGGAGGTAAAACAGATCACCCTCAGAACAGACCTTTACACTGTTAACAATGAATTATCTTATTTATTTATTTATCTATTTATTTATTTATTTATTTATTTATTTTATTTTGAGACAGAGTCTCGCTCTGTCACCCAGGCTGGAGTGCAGTGGTGCAATCTCGGCTCACTGCAACATTTGCCTCCCGGGTTCAAGCGATTCTCCTGCTTCAGCCTCCTTAGTAGCCGGGATTATGGGTGTGCGTCACCATGCCTGGCTAATTTTTGTATTTTTGGTATAGGTGGTGTTTTACCATATTGGCCAGGTTGGCCTCGAACTCCTGACCTCAGGTGATCCGCCTGCCTCGGCCTCCCAAAGCACTGGGATTATAGGTGTGAGCCACCATGTCTGGCTGAATTATCTCTTTTAAAAAAAGAAAAAGAAACGAAGAAAAAGTATTCCAAGACTCCGATAGCTTGCAATAAACTAAAAGCTATATGTGTGTATGTATGTGTATAGATATACACACACATATACACTTACACATACACACACACATATATATACACACACATACACATACACACATACACACATATTTAGATCATTACTACTTTTCACTATGAGAAAAATACATTGGTAAGAAAAGTGCCTAAAATAGAATCTCCAGTCCATTTGAAATACCCACAAAATGGCTGCCCACATCATTTGGGTTAGTTTCAAAGTTTTGGATTGTTTTACAAAAGGAAGTCAGGTAAAAGTTACCTTAGAAACATTACCAGTTCCTGTGAACACAAATGTTAAGGGTCCTATTGACTTAGGCATCAAACCCAAAGATATTTCATAGCCAGCATCACGGACAGCTTGCACAGCCTGACTGCTATTCCTGTAGTTATGAGCCATGCCAATGTGCTGAAAACAAACATACACAACTCAAGTTAGTCCACCAGCTCAGCATTTTTTTTATTATTAAGGTGTGAGATGTGTTTTCAAAAAAATTAGCAAAATAAACATCTCTTACCATAAAAGGTGTGTGATGTCCCAAAGCAAGGAGCCTTAAACCCATTCCATGTAAAATGTTGATCATTCCTGTTACAGAATCAGACCAATAGAAAGACTATTAGTTGGGAAGAATTTAAGCTGTTCTCTCTGCTCGTTCTCCAATCTGCATGGTGCCCTGCAGAAGCACAGATCATGCATCTCAGATTTAGAAGAGGCCTCAGTAGATTGTATCCATCCTCTCAACTTTCTGCCATCAAATGCACTAACCCAAATGCATCCCCACCTATTCCTTCCACCTTCAATCCTGATAAAATAGGAAGAATGTTTCTCTTCTTATCTAAGGCTAATCTCTCCACCTTGGCTCCGGATCCCATCCCTTCCTGTCACCCAAGGAATTTATTACTGAGTTACTCCCCTCACTATCCTTCCCTATTGCTTCATTCTTATCAGCATTTAAACATGCTCCCATGCCTCCCATAACAAAAACAAATGAACAAACAAAAACAAAGTCACCATTAACCCTAGGGCTCCCATCATCTATTTAGTGACCTAAATAGCTAAACTCAGTGAACACATTGTAGATCAGATCAGAAGTACTTGGCAATGCAGACCTCTTCTTTGTTGAAACGAAGAGTGCCCCTCAGCATCCCAACTTGAAATTTTTAATCCTACGTTTCTGTAGGACCCTCTTCCTGTGGCAATTCCTTTTATATTATTCACCCTCAGGATTATGTCCTGGGCTCTATTTTCTTCCATATCTACATTTGTCCCTTAGGTAATCTCATCTAGTCCTAAATTTCAAGTACTATCTATATGCAGACGACTTCAAGTCTCTCTCTTGAAAACAGATCTTTCTTTTGATTTCAAAACTTAGCCAGCCACCTTTTTATGTCTGTCTCAATTTGGATGTTCTTCAGAAAGCTAAAATTCAGCATCCCTGCAGCAAAGACCTGAGCATCCATTCTTTCCTTATTCTTTTTAGGAAAGAACTTTCCATGCTCCTCCATTCCCCATCCTCACCCCCAACAAACATCCCTACCAAATTTTCTTTTGTCGTTTTTCTAAAGTCAACTTATAAAGAAATAGTTTACATACAACATAATGCACCCATTTAAAATGTATAGTTTGGTAACTGTTAACAAATATACACATCTGTGTTATTACCGCCATGATCAAGATACAGAGTATTTCACCAACTCCTGGTCTCCACAACTACTGATCTTTCTCTCTCTATAGATTAAGTTCTTCTAAAGTTACATATAAACAAAATTTTAAGCAGTCGTCTCTCAGTATATGCAGGGGGTTCGTTCTAAGACCCCTACACATGTTAATATCTGGGCATACTCAAGTCCCACAGTCAGTTCTGTGACACCTGCCTGTATGAAAAGGTGGCCCCCGATAAAGGTGGATTTTGCATCCCATGAATATAAGCGGACTCATGCAGTTCAAACTCGTGTTGTTCAAGGGTCAATTGTACTCTTTTACAATGTGTCGGCTTTTACTCAGCATCGTGTTTTTGAGATTCATACATATTTTGTGTGTATCAGTATAGTCTTTTATTGTTGAAGAGTTTCCCATTTCTATTTCAGTTGATTTCTCTGCTCATCATTTGGGTTGTTTCCAGGCTATTATAAATGGAGTTGCTATAAAAAAATTCTTTGTATAAAATATTGTATTTCTCTTAATAAATGCCTATTAGTGGAATTTAGTTTGTACCTTGATACTTAAGTTTTCAATTTCTTCTTGAGCTGATTTTGGTAATTTGTACATTTTGAAAATTTATCTAGTTCATCAAGGTTGCCAAATTCATTGACCTATTCATAATATTCCTTTATCCTTTTAATATTTAAAAGATATAGTGATGGCCCCCTAGTATTCCTTCTTAGTAAATATTGTCTTCTCTCTTTTTCTATCAGTCTACCTAGATGTTAATTAATTTTATTGATATTTTTCAGAGAACCAGGTTTTGGTTTCATTGATTTTCTCTATTCTTTTCCTGTTTTAGTTTGATTAATTTTCTCTGTATCTTTATTATTTATTTCTTTCTACTTGCGTTTGATTTAATTTCTCTTTGATTTTCTAGCTTCTTATAGTGGAAGCACAAATTATTAATTTAAAAACTGTCTTCTCTAATAAAAGAATTAAATGCTGTAAATTTCTTTCTAATTGCTACTTTATACCCCACACATTTTGATAAGCTATACTTTAAATTTTTATTCTCTTAAAAATATCTTCTAATTTTCCTGTGATTTCTTCTTAATCCATCAGTTATTCAAAATTACATTGAATATCTCCCAAATATTTGGAAAATTTCCAAATATCTTTCTATAAAAACTTCTAGGTCAATTCTATTACAGTCAGAATACATACTGTATGATTTCAGACTTTCAAATTTATCAAAAATTGTTTTGTGACTCATTCTATAGCCTATCTGGGAGTTTTTAGGCCATTAATGTAACTATTGATATAGCTAAATTTAAAGCTACCATGTTGCTGTTTGTGTTCTTATTTCATTTGTACTTTGTTTTTTTAATGCCCTTTTTCTTGTATTTTTGCTTGAACTGTGTATTTCTTAGTATGAATTTTACATCCATTATTGGCTTATTAGCTTTAGAGCCTTGTTTTATTTTTAATCATTGTTCTAGGTTACCATATGCATCTTTATCTTATTATAGTCAACTATCAAGTAATATTATACTACTTCCGGTATAATAAAATAAACTTGTTACAAAAGTATGGTTCTATTCCTTTTCACCTGTCCATCATTATTGGTGACATAAGTTTTATTTCTACCTGTGTTATGAATATCACAATACATTGTTTCATTTGAAACTATCAATTATCTTTTAAAGAATTTTTTTGTTTTTTGAGACAGTTAACTCACTTTGTCACCCAGGCTGGAGTGTAGTGGCATGAACACAGTTCACTGCAGCCTCAACCTCCCAGACTCAAGCAATCCTCCCACCTCAGCCTCCCAAGCAGCTGGGATGACAGGCACGCACCGCCAAGCCCAGCTACTCTTGCATTTTTTTGTAGAGATGGGACTTCATCGTGTGCCCAGGCTGGTCTCAAACTCCTGAGCTCAAGCAATCAGCCTGCCCTGGACTCCCAAAGTGAGCGACTGGGCCCAGCCCTAAAGAAAAGTTTTAAAATAAGATATGATGTTTTTTATGTTTGTTTACATTCTACCATTTGTAGTGTTCTTTATTCCTTTAATTCAATCCATGTTTTCAACTGACTTCATTTCCTTCTGCTTGAGAAATTTTTTAAATACTTCTATGTCAGTGAATTTTATCAGCTTTCATTTGACCAGAAAATCTGTGTTTAATCTTCATTTTCTAGAAAGATGTCCAGAAAGATATTGAAAAGATATTGTCTTTGGAAATATATTGTACTGTGCATAAAATTATAAGTTGTTTGTTTTCTTTCAGCACTTTAAAGATGTTGCTCCACTTTCTGCTAGCTTAAACTGTTTCTGATTAGAAGTTTGATGTTTATCGTAGTTATTCTATGTATATGGTTCCCTTTTCCCATTTATTTTCAATGTTTTTATCATTATTTTTTAGCAAGACAATTATGATGGTTCTACTGTCATTTTCTTTGTGATTTTTTATTTCTATTTTTGGCTTGGGGTTTATTGAACTTCACTTATCTGTGTATTTATAATTTTTATCAAGATATGGGAATGTTCCGGTCATGATTTCTTTACTTTCTTCCTTCCTCACTGCAGTAGAAATTAAACAAAATGGAGCATAAAGAGAGAAAAAGACTGAGAAAAAAAAACAGAATTTAAGTGACAGGTGGTGAACAAATGCTCTAATACGTGTGTATTTGGAGTCCCAGAAGGAAGAGAGGCAGGTGAAAGGAAAACAAGCCTTAAGAGAATCAATGTAATCCACAAACAATTGCCTATTAGAACAAAGCCCAATGCTCCTAAAAGGAAAACAACAAAATCTATCAACAATGTAAAATGAACACTGTCTGGCATTCAGTAAAAAATTATGAGTCTTGCAATGGAACATTAACCTGGAGATAATCAACAACGGAAACAATCCCAGAAACAAGAAATGACAGAGATGCTGGTCAATGTGCTCAAGGATTAAATGAAAACACAAACAAAATGAGGAGTAGAGGAAATCAATCTATCCACCATGTATCTATCAATCAATAGACACTACAGAAGAAAATCTATATATGTTCTCTAATCCTCTGCTTATGTATAGATTTTCGTCCGTGGTATCTATTGATTGATAGGTAGATGGACTGATTTCCTCTATTTCTCTCCTGATTTTGTTTATGTTTCCATTTAAAACGTGAACATACTGAACATTTATTATAGCTGTTTTAATCTGCTTGTGTGCTAATTGCATCTCTCTCAAAGTAGACATTAGGCTCATTTTTAAGCTTTTATAGGAATGAATGTAGAGTAGGCTTTATTAAGAGCTGGTTTAGCCACACACTTCAGGGCATCCCTGAAAGCCTTATACATTCAGTTAAGTCTCTCCACTCTGGCTGATGGGACAAACTCTGAGAACAGTTTTCCATAGAGTTCCCTGGCAATTGTTCTTTTCCACAAATTGTTCCTAAGGCAGTCTCATGAATTTTCATCCTCCACTTAGCAAGACCCCTAAGCATATTTCTGGAACACCATTTCTGCATAGCTCCTCACTGTTTGGTACTATGTGTTGCCAATTCCAGCCAACTCAGGCTCCCCAACTCCTATCTCCTCAGCTTATTGAGTTCACCAAGCTTTGTGTCACATTTCCATATTCATACCATCTGATAATTTCTCCAGACAGAAAGCCAGGGTGAACATAGAGCTCACCTCATCTATTTTCCATCTATCAAGGATCACAAGTCTGTACTGCCTGTGGTCCAATGTCTGATAACATTGTTTTCTATATCTCATTCAATTTTTCTAGTTGGTTAATGACAGGATAGTAAGTCTGACCTCAGTTAATCTTTCACAGATGGAGGGCACATGGTTTTTGCAGCAGACATAGTTGCCCAGTTATAGATTACATTTCTCAGTCAATTTTGACCAATGGGTATGAGCAGAAATAATATGTTCAGATTCTTGGTCACATCCTTAGAAAGGAAGCTATTTACCTTACTTCCTTTCTCCCCTTTCCACTGACTGGAAAATAGCAACCTGAAGGGTCACCTTAGAAATGAAAGCCAAGTGTTGACAATAGCAAAGGCTTCCTCTCATTCCACCATCCCTAGACTTCTCACTCCTGGACTTCTAGCTTATGTAAGCTCTGTTTTGTGGAGTCTCCATTATAGCAACTTAGTATGTAATCTACTAATACATTGTCCTATACAGAACTCATTTACTCCCTTCCTCCAAATTCTTCCTCCATTCCTGTGGGTACTGAAAGAACTGAATCACTGTCCAAGTTGGTAACCTGCATGTCATCTTTAAAGTGTCTCCCTCACCCCCTCACTCCTACATCCAATCAGTCACCACATCCTGTGAATTCCACCTTCTAAATACTTATAAGAACCACATATAGTTATTTCCATATACACTCTAATTATACTGAACTTATTTCTATTCCTCAAAACTATTATTTTCCCCCTCTTCACTTTGAGCTTTGCACACTTGTACTGTCCTCTCCTACTTCCCTGAATCATTTTTAATCATTCTTCAGACCTCACCTTCAAAGGCACTTTTTAAAAGAAAGCTTTTGCAACAGCCAAGTTCAAATACCTTTTGTTTTGTTTGTTTTTTGTGTGTTTGTTTGTTTGTTTTTTGAGATGGAGTCTTATTCTGTCTCCCAGGCTGGAGTGCAATGGCATGATCTCGGCTTCCTGCAACCTCCACCTCTCAGATTCAAGCAATTCTCCTGCTTTAGCCTCCCAAGTAGCTGGGATTACAGGCACCCACCATCACGCCCGGCTAATTTTTGTATTTTTAGTAGAGAAGGGGTTTCACCATGTTGGCCAGGCTGGTCTTGAACTCTGGACCTCAGGTGATCTGCCCTCTTCGGCCTCCCGAAGTGCTGGGATTACAGGTGTGAGCCACCGCACCCAGTCTCAAATACCTTTCTTATAGCAATTAGCACTAGCATTGTATTTGTGTTTACTTGCTTGAATGCTTCTCTAAGAACATGAACCACATCCTATTCATGGATGTGGTCCTACTTCTGAATATGGTGACTTCTAAATAAATCAACTTAATTCCAATGTATTAATTCTGTCTAGGTAAATAAAACCCTCATCTGGATGAGTCCTGAAAGGCCCTAGGAATCATAGTCATCAGAGGTCTCTCTATTACTGCTTTTATACTAAGAAATTTAATTTTCTGTTAGTTTAATAGAGCTGATTTGGGTGTTGGGTGAGGAAAGATATGAGGTGAGTGAATAAAAACAATGAATTTGTTTGTTTCTTTTTAAAGACAGAGTTTTGCTCTGTTGCCTAAACTGGAGTGCAGTGGCGTGATCTCGGCTCACTGCAAACTCTGCCTCCTGGGTTCAAGCAATTCTCATGCCTCAACCTTCTGAGTAGCTGGGATTATAGACATGCACCACCAACGGCTAATTTTTGTATTTTTAGTAGAGACAGGATTTCACCATATTGGTCAGGCTGGTCTCAAACTCCTGACCTCAAATGATCCGCCCGCCTCAGCCTCCCAAAGTGCTGGGATTACAGGCATGAGCCACCATACCCTGCCTGAATTGGTTTTAAGTAAAAGAATTTTTTGAATTTCACATTTTTGCTTAGATTTATTATTTAAAAAGCAGGTGGATGCAAGTATAATATTAATAATAAGCAGAATGACATAAGCCATAATAAGTGTTTGAAATGCTTGTTCCCTGGTGCCGTAAAGAAACAGCACATGAACATAAATTTAATTTATTTAGTAAGGCCATTTTTACTTCCTGCAGAAAGGGTACACTCACCAGCAGTTTTGCCACAAGAATACACCGAACAAAAGAGACAGGGTCATTTATAACCTGACACGTCCACCCTACTGCTGTGTCCGGTTTCCATTGGCTGGAACGAGACCTCACGTTCTGTATTCGTTCCTATTGGCTAGCAACTTAGAACTTTTTAAAAGAGGCAAAGGTAGAGGAGAACAAAGGAAGGAGGAAGTAACTTGTGGAATGCTGAGAAAGGTAAAAACACTTTTAAATAAGGAAGAGGAACAGGCTATGACTTAATGCTTGCTTGGACCAGTATAAGCCTGCCGGGGCAAATATTTAGAAGCACAGGTCTGAATAAATTTTGCTCCTAAGAGAAGTTACTATTTATTCCTAATTAAATGGGGACGAAAGTCTTTGAAGAGGAACCTCTACTTTTATTTTTTACATAAGGAATCTTCTATTTTTATATAACAAGGTCAAACAAATAGTACCGAAGTCATGACCTTCCTTATTAGACCTGCAAGTAGTCTGATCTGAAACAGAGCTACAACATATTGTGGTGTTTCTTAACCAAACAAGGTTCAAAGAATTAACTGGACAAAATTCCTGCCCCTGGACCTTTTTTCCCTTTCTATTTCTCCCTATCTTCTAATTCTCAATGTCTCATTACCGAACTGGTATCTCCTTCCAGCCTTTCGAAAGGAACTACCTAAAAATCAGAGCTTGTTTGTAGTTGTTATCCTTCTCCCTGCTTTTTCCTTTGAATTTTTGCAATAAAATATTTTTAACCATTTATCTTCATACTTTATTCCACTTGTATTCATCATCCTTCAGCATACCTTCATTTTAATTTTTTCCATGGAAATAAACACTCCTATCCCCTTGCCGCAGAAAAGAGAAAACTCACAGTTATTCCCCAAGCCAATTTAGGAAGTGGGTGATGTAAGCCCTGGCATACTTACCTGCCACACCAGCCCACTGTCCAAATGCCACTACCCGTACTCCTCTATGATCCACCATTTTCTCATAATCAATAAGGCGAATTTCCTGAAAAGAGGATAAAAAAATTTCAACTGGACCCATTAAGCTTAATTTTAACAAGTAAAGACATATATGAGCAAGTAAATATTTCACATTTTTTCCTCTGAAATACACCTTAACTTGCTAACAGAAGCTACCATCAGGTATACCATGAAATATTTAGAAAACGCCAGGTAGCAAACCAATGGTAGGCTTGTAATTAGAAATGAAAAAATGTTTGTAGCAGGTGCTATACCCCCCTTGATGGTAAGCAATGAAATAATAAAGGTAGAATTTCCTTTACCTTTCTGCCCCGACCCACCCAGCACCATCTATAAACATGTCTAAAGCCCCTCTCATCCTTACATCCTTCCTTCTGGTCAAATAAAACAGATCCATTTTGAGACGAATCTCTGTGACCTAGATCCCAGCTTCTCTCATGTCCTCCAAGACCACTCTTCTTGAACTATTACCTCTTTCTTGCATCATCCATCTTTACATTCTTTCTCAACCATTCTAAGTACACTCAGGTCTCTTCTACCTGGAAAATAACACTCTCTTTCAACCTGGGAAATAACACTCTCTCTCAAGTCCAAGCACAGATATTTTTCTCTCTCCTCCTCCTTCTCCTCTCTTTTTCTTTTTCCCTCTCCTTCCTTTTACAGGTAACCTTCCTATTAAAAGTAGTACAGGATTCCTTCGAGTAGCTCAAGATAAAACCTGGAGTGATTCCTGACTCCTCTCCTTTTCTCATATTCCACCTTTATGTCATTTATCTTCCTTGCCTTCACTAAAAACATATTCTTCCTCTTTCCTTGAAAACCTTTCCTCTCTCAGGAAAGCATTAGTAATTCATGCTTAAAACATATTAGTGTATTGTAATTATACACTATTTTAAACAGTAATTTTATTTCCTCAAAGATCATATAATTTTTATTATGTTCATGAATTTAAGAATGTTTATCATTCTTCCAACTCCAAGTAATTGGTTACAAAATGCTGCCCAAAAGCAGCCCTGTTAGGTCAGTTTTTTTTAATTTTCTTATAATGAACAAAAGTTAAAATAACAAAAAAAGTTCCTAAAGTAATTTATAATTACTTTATTTGCTTAAAGTGGAACATTCTTCCTATAGTATTATTTCCATTAATTACTTTTGAACTTATTCTTTAGAAATACTACAAATTAACTGTCACCCTGGTCTACTGTATTTGGAATCAATTGGAAGTATTTTACACTCCTATATAATAGGTATTTTCCATTGCTTTTACTGTTTATGAACCCTCCAATCCTCTGCCCTAATCTCGGATCCTAGCTCTAACATCTGGAAGATGTGGACCTTAGACTTCTTTTTCTATACTCCCTTCCTAGGCTCATCCAGTCTCGTGGCTCTAGACACCACCTGGTCTCTCACAACTACAAAATGTATGTCAGGAGAAGCCGCCCTCCTGAGCTTCAGACTCATATCCAACAGCCCTCTTAGATTATCCCTTTGAATGTCTAATAGAATATTAAACTTGGCAGACCCTAAACTCAACTCTTGATTTGCCCACCGAAGCCTTTTTCTCTTGTAATGGCATCATGTCATTCCATGACAATTGCTTCAAGTAGCTCAGGCCAAAACCTGGAGTCATTCCTGACTGCTCTCCTTTTTTCATATTCCACCTTTATGTCATCAGTGAATCCTGTAGGATCCACCTCTAAAACATATCCAAGATTTGTCCACATTTCACAACTTTCTCTTCCACCATTTCTTCCAGGTGCAGGCCACCATCACTTGTGACTTGCAGTCTAGACCAGCCTAGGTTAGCAGCCTTCTTAGTAATGTTGCTCTCCTCCTCCCACCTCCAACCATTGTTGACACAAGAGACAAAATAAGCATTTCTGAACATGGTGTACTCTAACCCCACACTCAATCTCGAATCTGTCTGCTTAAAAGACTCATTTCAGATGTATTGGCTCGGTCCTTCACCTCCTTTAGATTGTTGCTCAATGCCACTTTCACAATGGGGTCCTCCCTGACCATCCTACTTAAAATAGCATCATCACCTCCCAGTGCCCAGGACTCCTTTTCTCCTTCAATATTATATTTATCTTCATCACACATATTCCCAAGTGGATATTAGATGTCTTATTCATTGATTATCTGTCTCCTCCCACTAGAATGTAAGCTTTGTGAAAATAAAGATACTTTACTCTTTGGCTCTTTCCTTGGAACAAACAGTGTCAGACACAGCATCAGCACTGAATAGATATTTGTTAAATGAATATCTTGTGTTTTAAACAGCTGCTAGTTTTTTTCATAGTATTTCTATCTCAAAAATGCATTTTCCCTTATGAATGTGAATAAATGTAAAAATTGTCTCAGCCAGGCACGGTGGCTCATGCCTGTAATCCCAGCACTTTGGAAGGCTGAGGTGGGCGGATCACGAGGTCAGGAGATTGAGACGATCCTGGCTAACACAGTGAAACCCCATCTCTACTAAAAATACAAAAAATTAGCTGGGCGTGTTGGCTGGCGCCTGTAGTCCCAGCTCCTCAGGAGGCTGAGGCAGGAGAATCACCTGAACCTGGGAGGCGGAGGTTGCAGTGAGCCAAGATTGTGCCACTGCACTCCAGCCTGGATGACAGAGCAAGACTCCATCTCAAAAAAAAATCCCATCTGAAAAACAAGGTAGTAGATTATATGATCCCTGAGGTTATTTTCAGTTCTAAAATTCTATTTGATAGTATATGGCCAATTGACCTTATAAATTGGTAAATTGTTTAGGGTAAGAGCTTTTATCATTCTTTCCATTTCAGAATATAAAAGGAATGCAATGTTTCTCTTAAACTAAAGAAGAAAAGAAGACTAAAACTCCATTTGGGGGTTAAAAGTAAAAAATATTATTTTTCTACATTAATATTTATAAATATTAATCACTAATTACCTGTTTTAGAATCTCATCCAACAAGCCCATATTGGCCTCCTGAGCTTTTATTGTGTGGGAGAAAAATGCATAAGTCTTCCTGGACATTAATTTTTCCTCTGGAGGTCTTTTAACTCCTAAAATTAGACAAGCTTCAGAAATATCCTCCTGAAGAATGCCACCAGCTTTGACATAGTCCTGAAATTGTAATTATGATTAAAGGTTATTATCCTGATTTGTAATATCCATGTTTTCTTGAGCAAAATGTGTAGCAAAGGCACAACAAATCTTTTGAAGGAATAAAATCTGTATGAATTAGAACAAATAATAGAACAACTACTTGTAATGTTTGTACTTGTTGGCTAAAGATAAATCTATCATGTCAACTCTTACAGCATTAAACAATTAGAAAACACAGCATATATATATATATGTATGTTTAAGAAGAGTTTATAATTTGGTCATATGCACTAGCACATGTGACTTAAGCATACTTGTGAAATGTATATTTTGTACCAACAGTACACTGAAATATTAAATGCCAAATTGTGATTTATTAGTTGTATTTTTAAAAGATAAGACATAATTATACATTTATTTTTCAGTGTTTACCCAGTTAGTATTTATTACTATCCTTACTGTACATTAGTCCGTGCTAGAGATGAGATGCTAAGATACAAGGAAAGATTGTCAAGATCCCTTGTATAAAGGAGCTCACAAAATATAGTAAAAAGTACTCTGGATTGGAGTAAATGAAAAATACAAAACATGATCAGCAGTATCTAAGTGATATGCTACTTTAACTGATATTGAGATAATTCCTAAGTAGGATGATCAAAAAAATATGAAAATTAAATTAATCTGAAAGGTAGGATACCAAAGAAATATGAGAATTTAAATTAATCTGAAAGGCTACCTGAAATTTAGAGAAATGAAGATGGCAAACACAAGATGGTAATATCAGTAAGAGGCATTGAAGGCATATATAAAAATACAAAGAGAGAAGTAAAGAGACATTTACAACATACGAGTAAACCGATTTGGAAATGTAGGTTGAATGTCATCATGGCTAATACAAGACTTATTGGGTAATAAGTAACAATCATTGATATGTATTAATAAATTACATGTACTTTGCTAAGCTCTTTGCATGAATTATCTCATTTAAATTTCATACAACTCTCATGAGGTAAGTACAATTATAATCCTCATTCAATCAATGGGAAACCTGAGGCTTACAAACTTAATTGAGATTGCATAACTAGTACATGGAAGCAACAGACAGACATATCTGATTTTTAAATAAAGAGGTATAACCCAAGCAGAATTAAAAGAGCAATTGAACAAAAGATAAGTTTAGTTAGGAATCTACCTCAAAGGAAAGTAGAGATGAATAACAGAGATAGTTAAAGGATGAATATACAATTTCTCCCTGGTTTCTTCAAAAACAGTCCATTTTCTCATTTGTAGTAGATTGGTAAATAAACCATGGTAAATCTGTACAATGGAGTACTTATCACACAGCCATGAAATGAAATGAAATCTCTCTAAGAACTTACATAGAGCAATGTTCAAGATATGTTGTTACTAAAGAAAGAAAGCAAGGTTAAAAGAGTGTATATAGTAGACAGCCTTCTGTATAAGAACAAAAGGGAAATAAATATGTAAATACACACACAGGTGTTTATTTTTGCAAAAAAAAAAAAAAGAAAAAACAATGATAGATCAGAAACAAAAGTAACCTCTTTGGGGTGGGTGAGAATTGGATGTAGGGGATTAAAATGAAAACATGACTTCATTTCTGGAATTTGTAAATGTTCTACTTTGAAAAACAAAATTAAATCAAAAATGGGAAAGCAAACATTAAAACTGAATAGAAACAATAATATATAAATCCAGATGGATATTAGATTGATGACGAAACCACACCAAAAAAAATTCAAATAAGTTTTTTAATACAACACTCTGAATATTCATTGTCAGATATATTCTAAAGGCAAAAAAAAAAAATCAAAGAAATAGTAAACTTCATTTAGTGGGCTTACTATTAGTTGTAATAATAGTATTGTGATCCTGACACTATTTATACATATCATAGGATAAAGCAAACAATATGCATTAATATTAAAGAATTAAGATTTTTACTGTTGGAGAAAACAGATGCAAATATAAAATTTTAAAGGTAAAAAGTTGTGCAATGTTAAATTTTAATTTTCCTGGACATTAATTTTTCCTCTGGAGGTCTTTTAGTATCAGTATTAACTCATGATTAAATAATATATATATATATGTGTGGGCAACTGTTTGTGTATATTTCTAAACTCTGTACACTAATAGAGCCTAAGAGCAACAGTATCTCAGTAACAATAAACATGCTTAACATCAGATACCAGATCTTGGTCTCTATATAATAAAAGAAAACAAGTCTTCTTGGTGAAATTATTAATTTCCTGATGTGGGGCAGGAAAGGTACAAGGTGAGACTAGGACAATTTGTTATCCTAAGAAACAAGAAAGCTCAAAGGTAAATGGATTCACATCCAAAGGACAGAGAAGCCCCCTTGGAAGGACTCACACTAACCAATTTTGGGATAATTCAGACATTAAAAAGAATAATGGTAAATGGATTGAATGAAAAAGGTCCATGCTTCCAAAATATACTCAAAAAAGCAAAAATTAAAGAAGCATAATGCAATAGCAAATTTGAGTCCACACTTTGATAAACAATTCAGTTCACTGTAATAAAACAGTTCACAACTCATCTTTTAAGCAACATCCTAAGATTCATCTTGTCAACATGAAGATGTATATATAAACTCCTCATAACAAGGCTTTAAATGCAATGATAAGAAAGTTTTTTAAAGAAATTGTTTAAACACTGAATTACAGAATTCACAGTTTGGTAAACAGTTCAATGCACTGTAATAGAACAGTTCACAACTCAAAAAAGTGGAGGAGTGGAAGAGAAAGAAAAGAAAACCTCTTTTCTAAAGAAGAATGTCAGCAAACAAACTTAGGGGAGTGATAAAATTAGAAAAGCATCACTTCACAAGTCTCCATGTAAAAACTGATCCAGGCAAAGATTATCAATGGAGGCTGACATGATTAGTTGTAAAGTTATTTGAGGAATAGGAACATCACAGATCTTAAAATACCATACCACAGATGACTCAGTAATTACAAAGGGTGATATAGACTTTAACAATGAAGAGCTCTCACTGTAACCACCTCAACCAAGTGACCACACATTGCCAACCATGGGACGACCAGATGTTTTGTGCCTTTGATGTGATGCCATGGGAAGAACATATATCACTTATGTTGTATTCATGCCAAACATTTTTGGCATGAATATAACATATAGAATATAATTAGAATATAATCTATTCACGAGAAAACAACCAGATTATTCGTGCCCAGTAGCAGGACACTCTGTAAGTCTTGGGGTCTAGAGTCCATGTCAATGTCAATATCATTGAAACAAAATCAGAAAGGGATGTGCTGTTCTAGATTGAAAGAACTAAAGACACACAATAATAAAATGCAATAAAGCTTCATTAAGCCTCAATTAAAATAAAAGGCATTTGAGGCAATGGGGAATCTGAACATAGACTATATAAGATGATATTATGAATTATTAATTTCTTAGGTATGAAAGTCATATTGTGGTTATGTAGAAAACATGGCTTATTCTGAGGAGATGCACATTGGAGCATTTAATAGTAATGAGTTATGATGTCTGTGATCTACTTTAAAATGGCTCAGGAAAGGAAAAGTATACATATATATGTATATTGCTAAAATAGGAATGAGTCAAACCTATACCATAATATTATTTTGAAGAGCAAGTGGAATGATGAACATGACAGGCTTCTCTCAGAGTGGCAGGCAAGGTACATTCTCAAAGGAGCATTCTCTGGGTGCAAGAATGGAGTCTTATCCCCCTAGTCCCAGAACCAGGGCTGTACATGAAGGAGAGAATGATTGAAAAATAACATCTCCTAAAAGTAAGTTCTTTTATTCCTCAGCTGGAGTAAGCATAGGGTGAAAATAATACTTTTAATCAAAGTAAAGAAATCAAAGTGACACTAGCAAACATTTTATTTTCACTCAGATGCTCCTTAATTTTCATATGCAGGTTCATTTTATTCTCACATAAAAATATTGGAAATACTCACCTTATCATGAATGGCCCGCCGATTCGAAGGCTGTATCAAGACCTTGTATCCCAGATTGGTGATGCCTTTGATGTGCTTGGGAGCTAGCGGGGCCCTTCTCTCCCAGGCGTTCACATCCTCCCTCCGGACGGCCAACACAGCTTTGTGGTGAAGACCCTTGGAGAGGCTGACCCCCAGCCTGCCCAGTCCAGTCCTATGTACTTGCAGCATCTTGACACCTGGTGACTGTAAAGACAATGTAAAGAGCAGAGCAACAAAAGGCAGCAAGGCTGGCAGATCAGTTCTGGTCTCCTGAGAAATCTGAGGTAAAATACAACCCGCTCTTATGAAAACAGACACAAGGTAGAGAAGAGGGAAGGGAAAACTGGGATGTCAAGTGTTCCTTTAAAGCCAAGTTTTCAAAAACAAGATTATTTAACTGCAAAATTTTAAAAAGTATAGAGCAACGTGTGTGACACCATCCAATAACTGCTAAGCTAAAATAGCTTTTTAAATACACATTTTATCAAACATCTATTCGGCACAAAAGTTTTAAACAAATTAATCTACAATGCAAATCCAGGAAAATAATAAAGAGCAAGACTTTCAGATTGGTCTAAATTTTGATGGCGTAAAGTTTGAAATCCTTATAATGGTATACAAGATTCTTCACAATTTAGTGCCAACCTCTTTCCAGTTCATCTCTGACCATTCCCAAAACAAGTGTTTCTCAGTGTGCCCTAGTGTCAGTCAGTGAACTGCACTGAACTGTTTTTTTAAAACAAAAAACAAAAAACAAAAAAACTGGTTCACAATTAGATGTGTACATAAATAGAAAGTAAGCATTTAGAAGCCTTAATATCACATGATCATATTTATTTATTTATTTTTAGACATGAAGTCTCACTCTGTCAATGCTAAAATGCAGTGGTGAGATCATTGCTTACTGCAGTCTGGGCTCAAGTGATCCTCCAGCCTCAGCCTCCCTAGTAGCTAGGACTACAGGTGCACAACCACCCACCTGGCTAAGTTCTTTTTTTTAATTTATAACAAATTACTGGGATTACAGGGGTGATCCACCATGTCAAGCCACAAGATCATTTTTTCTAGTAATTTATTGTTACCGGATTTTACAAAAGTATTGGTCCTCAACAGATTGGAAATTTAAGAAAACCAATCAACCTGTGTAAACTAGTTCAACCATTGTGGAAGACAATGTGGCGATTCCTCAAGGATCTAGAACTAGAAATACCATTTGACCCAGCCATCTCATTACTGGTATATACCCAAAGGATTAGAAATCATGCTGCTATAAAGACACATGCACATGTATATTTATTGTGGCACTATTCACAATAGCAAAGACTTGGAACCAACCCAAATGTCCATCAGTGATAGACTGGATTAAGAAAATGTGGCACATATACACCATGGAATACTATGCAGCCATAAAAAAGGATGAGTTCATGTCCTTTGTAGGGACATGGATGAAGCTGGAAACCATCATTCTGAGCAAACTATCACAAGGACAGAACACCAAACACCTTATGTTCTCACTCACAGGTGGGAATTGAACAATGGGAACACTTGGACACAGGGTGGGGAACATCACACACTGGGGCCTGTCATGGGGTGCGGGGAGGGGTGAGGGATAGCATTAGGAGATACACCTAATGTAAATGACGAGTTAACGGGTGCAGCACACCAACATGGCACATGTATACATCTGTAACAAACCTGCACGTCGTGCACATGTACCCTAGAACTTAAAGTATTAAAAAAAAAAAAAGAAAACCAATCGACCAAACAAACCTATTCTTTAACCAGAGGTGTTAGAAGATTAAGAAGCAGAGTTAAATCACTCTGCTTCCTAGAGTCCAGCTCACCTTCACTGTTCACCTTTGTTGCTCTAAACATGCCAGTTCCTCTTCCTGGGTTTTCTCTCCATACATGGCCGTCTGCTGTTGTATTAAACCCCGACCTGCCTCAACCAGTTTTCCAACTGCTATTCAAGTGAGAAGATTGTGTAATTCCACTCATTCAGTCAATCAAGAAATAGTTACTAAAGGCTTACTATGATGAATGTAACGGGCTTCTCTCAATGTGGCAGGCAAGGTATATTCTCATGAATAAACTCTACTCAAAGCAGCATTCTCTTGGTACAAGAAGTGTCTTGTCCCCCTAGTCCCAGAACCAGGGCTGCATATGAAGGAGAGAATGATTGAAAGATATCATCTACTAAAAGTAGTTATTTTTTCCCTCAGCTGGAGGAAGCGTAGAATACGGTGGAAATAATACTTTAAACCAAATTAAAGAAATTAAAGTGACACTAGTAAACATTTTATTTTCACCCAGATGCTCCTAATTTTTATATACAGGTTCATTTATTCCTATGCAGAATAAATCTTATGTAAATTTTTAAAGCATAAATATCCAGGCTTAACAGTATTCTACCCAACTTCAATTGGATTCTATCCAACTTCAATTTTGTAGCCAAATGTCATTTCAGATGATGATTTGCTGGATCATTTGAATGATAAAACTTAGTTTTCCATGTAAACTTGGCAGCAAAATATAAGGATTCAATGATTTTTATACCTTCCAGAAATTTTCTACCCATCACCGCTAACAACATATAGAAAAGCTTGCATGAAACACATTTATTTTACATCAGACTGCAATCTTGGAAGAGCACCAGCTTGATGGATGGGGAAGGCTTGACCAAACAATTAAGCATACAAGTACATTTCCTGGGGGCAAACAACTACTTGCTACCTAGACAGTAAATTTATAGGACACTTTACAACAGAATCAGACAACAGACCAAACAGCGAAGAGTCCAGCTAAGAAGGCTTTAGGAAGATGGCCAAGAAGAAAAAAAGCTGCACACAGCAAGAGAAACTGCTGATGATTAGGAGTTTAGGCTTTTATTCAGGGCAAAATATGCATGCAAAATAGATTATCAACATTTCAGTAAACGACTGTTATATACTGCATCTATTTTTTGTTTATTCATATCTTCTGTTTTTTAAAATAGATTGCATTAAACTCAATCCCAAACCCATAACATTCAGTCTTCTCGAAGCCAAAAGAAAAACTAGAACCTGAATCCCTCAGTTTCTAATAAAACCAATTCCAAAGATAGTGATTCCTTTGAACATACACAAATGTCCAGAAACCATCCCATCTTCCCAGCAGGGGCTGTGTTTCATGAATTCACAGGTGACTACATACCCCTGTAACTTTTATTATGAGTTGAAATTCTTGACTCCATCAGGAGGAACATGTGGAGATAATTTAATCCCTCCCCTCTAGCCCAAGCTTGAATGTTAACCTCACTCATCCCTCACTCAGTAATAATCCCTGCTCCTTCTCCCACCACCTTCTTTGTCTGGGATAGGGCGGGAAAGCAGTAGACACACACACAGACACAAATACAGACAGTCACTTGTAACATACACACATATACTTGCAAAGGCCAACTATCTTGGAAGACTAGGGAAAAAGACAGAAGTGCCTGGGACTGAGCTTCAGTTTATTTGGGAAGCTACTTTCACTTTCACTTTTTGCATGGAAGGCTTAAATAATAATTTCTGTAACTTTCATTATTTAAACAAATGTAACAGTAGTTACCATTGATTAAGCATCACATGCCAAGCTCTATGCTGAGCACTTTATGGATATCATCTTATTTCCTCCTTGCAAAAATCTTATTAAGTAGATACATATCCCCATTTTATAGATGAAGAAACTGAACTGGAATCATATAGGATCTGTTGCTTTTAAGCAGAAGCAGGATTCCTAGTTTAATGTTTAACACCTGGAATTTTCTCTTCTTTGCCAAAGCCTACAGATTCACACCATATAGATCCAACACATGCTGTTAACTCCAGCCAACTCTTGTTTCAGAAAGAAATCAGATCCATATGGCTTTGCCTTCAACAGTCACAGTGAATTAACAGTTCTCCCCGTAGCATGCCGTGCCTCTCTTGACCCCTTTTCCTGCTTTATACTGAAAATCATTCCTGAGTACCTGCCAAGATAAATTCTAGATTTCTGGGTGCTTAGAAAAAAAATGGTTTGATTATAGTATAACTGCTAGTTACTGCTTGAACCTTAAAACTTGGTCTCAGCATAGAACTTTCAAGATCCACAGTTCATTTGCTTCTAAGGTCTTCAAGAAATAGGAAATAGTGAGAATTTCTGAATTGCACTGCAGGTGTCTAGTATTTCATGGAAATGCCAACGGAGGCTGCTTTAGCTTTTTCTGTCCTGGATTTTGTGGTATTTTTCAAGAATATCAGGAAGTAAATTCAATGTATATTTCTGGAATGCCTTCAATGAAGGAAGGAGGGAAGATCAGGGTTTACTCACCACCAGCTCTAGTGAGGTTACCCGACAATGTCGGGTGCTGATAACAGCTTGTAACACAAGCAAGGAGGATGTAGAAAAGCAGGAGGCAGAGAGGGGGAAAAAAAGAGCTAGAAAGAACAAAGAGGAGGAAAATAGAGAAAGAGAAGTGTCACACAGGCAAGGGTGGGGTACAAGACCCTTCCTCTGATGAATTGTAACAGTCTTCCCTTTGTTACATGAAGGTTAACATTTCAAATATAAAAATGAAACTTAAAAGATTTCTTCTCTGTTTTTGTAAAACAGAACACCACTAAGGTATACATTTTTATTTACCTAAAATTGATGAGGAATTTGAAATGTCTCTAAAAGTCATGGGAGTATTATAGTGAATTGCAGCGAGATACAGTAGACCCTGTTTATCTGTGGGTAATACATTCCAAGAAGCCCAGTGGATGCTTGAAATCTCTGATAGTCCCAAACCCTATATATACTATGTTTTTTCCTATACATACATACCTATGATATAGTTTAATTTATAAATTGGGCACTGTAAGAGACTAGCAACAATAATAAAATAGAATAATTATGACAATATACTGTAATAAAAGTTATGTAAATGTGGTCTCTCTCACTCTCTCTTTCTCTCTCACAATATCTTAGTGTACTTTATTCACCTATTTTCAGACCAGATTGACAGTGGGTAACTGAAACCATGGAAAGCGAAAACTTGGATAAGAAGGAACTACTATGTACTGAGACAGGAAGATAATAGTGAAGGTTGCCCAGTAGCAATAGGAGAACATACTCTATGATACTGTCTTATCTTTCCATCTCTCAAGGTGGCAAGACTTAATCTTTTAATTTGCTAACTTTGCAACAAAAACATGAGAATCAGAAGAAAGAACATGCTTGAATGTTCTTTGTATTTTTTTATTATTTTCCAGAAAAGGGAAAGGAAAATGACAGAGACAGATAGAGAGAGAGAGAAAAAAAAGGACACAGAGACAGAGCTCGGCACTCCATACACATCCCATTTTCTTTCAATGACCATGAGCTGTCCTATGGTCACTGAGTACACCATCATTCTAAATCACATGGAGTAACCAAAGCAAAGCAGATTCTGTAAAATGTATTTATAAAATATTATATTTAAGAAAAGCCACTCTCAGGACAGAGAATCTCATGTGTGGTTAGAAAGGTCCTTTCAGAGTGTGAGCAAAGTGGTCTTTTGTACAATTACACATATTAATATAAAAACAGCTAGTCATTTGCTTATAGCACAAATATTTTCTAATATTTAAATTATAATGAAATCCAGAAAGTCTCTTGATAGAGTTATCAAAATAAAATCTTTTGTACACGGAATATGGGACAAATGCTTTTGATTCTCTTTAATTAAAAAAATATTTGGGGGCTACTTAAGATATGCACGGCATGATGCACTTGGTAAAGATATAAAGAAGCAGTAATCCAATCCCTGCCCATGTTCAGGATTAGTTTTATCAAATTAAATGGTGCTGATCAATATCTGATAGTGAATTATTAATTATTGATTATATCCAAATATTAGAGTCAAAGTGGGACTGATAGAATGTAATCTAAAATCTAGTATTACAAATGAGAATAGTGAGGCCCATAGAAATAGGGGATTTTTTTCTGTTTTATAGAAAGCATTTTCCAAGCCACTATTATGTATTTTTATGACTTATCATAATGGATGTCACAGTAAGTCTGTTCTCGTTGGTATAACTTTTTAAATGTAACTCGATCAAGATTTTTCTCTCTGCTACTTTTCAGGCAATATTTATGCCTTAAAATGATGTGTTTGGCCAAGCACAGTGGCTTATGCCTATAATGCCAGCACTTTGGGAGGCCAGGGTGGGCAGATCACCTGAGGAGTTCGAGACCAGCCTAGGCAACATGCAAAACCCCATCTCTACTAAAAATACAAAAATTAACTGGGCGTGGTGGCGCATGCTGGTAGTCCCAGCTACTCGGGAGGCTGAAGCATGAAAATCACTTGAGCCCAGGAGGCGAAGTTTGCAGTAAGTGAAGATCATGCCATTACACTCCCACCTGGACAACAAAGTGAGACTGTCTCAAACAAACAAACAAACAAACAAACAAACAAATGATGTATTTAATTTTTGCAGTTTTTATAAGGGAACGGGGTAGATGAAGAGAGCTGAGATTTTCATAGAGCTTTTTACTCTTCCATCAAATAGCTAAAATTCTTTAAGTCTCTTCAACCCTTTCCATAGCACCAACCCAATCAGAATACTTTTTAAGCTTATAGATCACCTACCTAAGCAAAACAATGCACAAGCATTACAAGAGCTTAAGAATGAACTAAGCGGCTGGGTGCGGTGGCTCACACCTGTAATCCCAGCACTTTGGGAGGCTGAGGCAGGCGGATCACGAGGTCAGGAGGTCGAGACCGTCCTGGCTGACACGGTGAAACCCCGTCTCTACTAAAAATACAAAAAATTAGCCAGGGTCGGTGGCGGGCGCCTGTAGTCCCAGCTACTCGGGAGACTGAGGCTGGAGAATGGCGTGGAACCCGGGAGGCGGAGCTTGCAGTGAGCCGAGTTCGTACCACTGCACTCCAGCCTGGGCGACAGAGCGAGACTCAGTCTCAAAAAAAAAAAAAAAAAAAAAAAGAATGAACTAAGCATTGCACCTCTTAATTTCTGTTACTTCTTTTGGGATATGTATGAAGGATCACACATTCATTTTTGAAGAAATTAAGGCCAAATGTTCCAACTTTAATCCCCACAGTTAGGAACGTGCTCTTTGTCCATCTATTTTAGATATTTAAAATAATTTCACTACAGCATAATTCAATGACTCAAACCAAAACTATCAAATCACACGGGGGATTTCTGAATGACAAATTATTTGCAATAATCAGGCATATATTGTGATTAAATATTGAGAGACTAAGAATGAGGTAATGTAGTCTTTAGATGAAGAAAATAAGTTCAAGGATGAACAGCGCTAATTATTTATATTCACCCTTCCAAGTAACTAAAAAAAAAAAAAAAATACAAGTATATATTAAAATCCATGGTTTCCCAAGAAGCACTGGTGTCTGTAAATAAGTATGGCAGCTCTATGGCTATGAGTCTTGGCCTACACTAAGTATCCAAACCATAATATTTTTTGGAGAGGTTCAAAAGAGTTCCAGAATTAACACAGCACCAGATGATGGCCTAGAACTAATCCAAATCCCTCCCAATTTCAAGGCTTGCTAGAACTAGGCTTGGGCTTGCATTAACACTGGTCATACTTTGACTTCCTGTGCGTGGGTACATTCTTTTAATGCTTCCATGTTAAACCCTCTATAAAATACTTTACTGGATTAAGAAGAAAGTGGTAGACTTTGGGGGAGGAGGTCTATTAGTGTTAACTAATCTGGTCTGAGAATTTTCATATTTTCTCCAGCCCATCACCTACTCAAAGTCATCCATAAACATGACACATATTTCTCCTGGTCTCTAGCTTATAATTTTAGCTTCATTGAAATGGAATACAAAGTTAGTTCTAAATCGGAGTCTAGTCCAAAATGCTTATCTGCTTACTTGTCTGTCTCTTTGCTAAACTGCAAATGTGTATGAGTTGTGTTTTACTCATCTCTGTATTCCCAATGACTGGCACATGGGAAAACAGCAAGTGTTTTAAGAAAGAATGAATAAATGAAAAAGCAAATTCAATAAACATTATAAAGACCTATGCAGCAAGAAAACAAACAAACAAACAAACAGATAAAATAGACACATTAATAAGAGACTCACATCCCCCTAACCCTGCAAAAAAAAAAAAAAAAAAAAAAAAAAACTTGATTCTCTTCCAAGATCTCATAGATCAACAAATGTCGTGAAATATAGTACAGTATAGTGGGAAAACTTAGACATGGGAGCTGGGACACATAACTAGATGTAGGGTTCCTCCTCTTGACTTCAGTTTCCTTACCCAGACAAAAATATAATACTAAAGTCCCTTTCAGGCTCTGATATTCTGATTCTATTAAGCATAGTAGTAACTGGACACTGAGAATTACAAAAACATTAGAAATGTAGAACATAAATAGGCACTCTGACTTATGAATTTCTAGCTAAAGTACACCAAACAGGGAAACAAAATACCAAAAACACAATCAAGAAAGAGTGGACATTCACCTAAGCTACCTGCATTAATAGCATGGACCAGGAACCAAGAGCTTGCAACAGAAGATGGATACCTCAAAGGAATACTGGTTTCTCTCCTGGGTTCCTCAGCGGCCAAACTTACTCTGTGACCTTGGCTGGCAACTTAACCTGTCTGTGCATCATGCGCAAAATGAGAATCATATTAACCTCTACCTCTTAGGGCTCTTAAGACGTTTAATTGAGCTAATATGCATAAAGTGCTGAGCATTGCTGTGTGTCATAAACAATAAATTTTAAGAAAAGAAAAAGCCTCCAGGCTTGCCTACTCCTCAAAAGCGAGCACAACCACGCCGCTAACAGTAGACTCACATTTCTTTCCTCTGTCACACTGTAGTAAGACCTTCACGATGGCTCCATATTAATCCCCCACCCTTACATTATTTTGGAAAAAAAATAATTAGAGCCCAATAAGCCCTCTCTTCAACTTCAAACTTCAGGCATGCATGTTCAAGATAAATAAATTACCATTTTAATGTTGTATTTCATCAAATTTAAGACAATTTTTTTACACATTTTAGCATCAGTGAAATAGGGATGCATCTTACAATAGATGACACCTTAGATCAGATGAATGTGGTAATAATGTTTTGGGGTTATTTTCCATTCCAAATGTTTGTTTCCATGATTTCATGAATTGCATAGAATCTTTTGTAGCCTTCCCAAGAAAACTTACCACTGTTTGTAATGTTATTTCTATGAGAAAATTAATAAAAGAATATATGAAAAAAATGAAAATGTTTTGTTAAATGGTGGCTTCTTAAACACCAAAGATCATTTCCAAAATTCCGAACCAAGGTCTGTTAAACGACTAGTGAGAAAAAAAATTCAATGACAAATAAACCAAAGTTCTGATCACGCCATCATCAATAACAAGTGAAACTGATAACAAATATGATTATCTGAAGAGTGGGAAAATGATTCAGGTAAATTGGCTTCAATTTTTGTCCACCTAACTCATTTTGCAGAATGGCCACCAGGTTACACAGTCAAGTCATGTAGCCCTAGATTCACTCATCTTCATGGGAAAAAAAGAAGAGGGGAGTGCAGGGGACAAAACAGACAAACCCAGAAACACCAAAGTGCCATCAGTGTTTTGGGATTTTTTTTAATACAGTATTGGAAAGCCGCAGCTTCAGTCAAGGACCATTCCGTCCTGTGTATAACTACATCTCACAGCTGCACCTTCCCCACTGATAACCCACAACATCAAAAAATGTTAATCCTTGTTCAAGTTACTGAACTAATTCATTCTCTCTCGCGCTCGAGCGCTCTTTCTCTCTCTCTCTTCCGCTCCCCCCACCCCCATTCCCCTGAAATCAATGTCTGAAAAGCACATTTCTTCTTCTGAAGCTGTCAGGATAGACAGACATTCAGCCCCATTCAACCGAGGAGGGTGGGTAAACTGCTTCTCCCCGCGCCCCGTCCCGCGCGAGCGCTCACAATGGGCTGCATAGTCCCGCAGGGGCTGAAGAGTTCAGGAAACCCAGACTTGCAAGGCGCCCAACTTCCACCCATCTCCGATCCTTGCTGGAGAATGGGTCTGTGTCTCGGAGAGTGGGCAGCCCAAGATGGACAAGGAGAGAAGTTTGTGATCAGTTTGGCTAAGCTGGGCGTGGGGAGGGAAGGGGGAAAGAACCACCCCGAAATCTCCATCCACCGCCCCCTCAGCCAGCCGTCCCCTCTAAGCACGCCGTCCACAAATTAACAAGCCGTTGTTTCCTCAGCTTCATCAGTTCTTTATTCCCCAGCCACAGCACCACCACTGTCCGCCAAAAAAGAAAGAAAAGAAATCCGAATTGCAATCCCTCGCCTTTCTACTTAGAAATGCTGGAGCTGCGCTGACCGCTCTCCCTCCCTTCCTCGCAGTGAAACTCTCTGCGTTTCCGCTCTCCCTCCATTCCTCGCAGGGAGGCCCGAATGCTCGCCGCCTTCTCCCTCTCTCGGCCCGGCCGGGGTCGCCTCGCGGCGCCGGGACCCGAAGGCCAGGCTCGCGGGCCCCTCCCAGCGACAGCCCGAGCCCGGCCCGCTATCTCCACCGCATCTCACAGGCTGAGCCCACCCGCGCGTCTGCTCAGCTCTCCGCGGGGACCTCTCCTCTCCTCACCTCGTCCGCTCTGGGGCGCCGACTTGTCCCCCGCCGCCTCGAATCTTCCGAGTCGCTGCAGGGGAGGCTCCGAATTCCTAGAAGAAACTGGGATGGAAGGCCGGGAAGTAGGAGGTGTTTGCTCAACTTCTGAGGACGTCACGCCTCTGCCTCCCGTAGCCAATCAGCAGCCGCCCTGAGGGAACAACCTTCTCATCTGCCAATCGGCGGCGCTGCCAGTTGCTACGTCATGCCCGGCCCCTGCTCCTCCCCAAGATCCTTCTGTCTCTGATCTCTGATCTCTGACCTGCGTTCTTAGCTGGGACGTCGAGTTCTCCCAGGATAATTATCGACCAGGTTTGTAACTGTCCGTGGCAGAAGGCGGGCGGGGACGGAAAGCAACGAAAATAGTCTGGGCATTACGCTCTAAATAGAGGTGCACATCTCCTGGGGAAAAGTTGCGAGCGCCGGTACCTCACGTTTGTTTAGCTATAGACACTTTTCAAAGCATTTCACCGCCTTGTCACAACCCTGTGAAGCCAGATAACAGTTCTTACAACAGTTTTAGAAGCCAGCAAGCGGAGAATCTGAGAAATTAAAACTGAGTGTGTTCATGTGCATATGGCAATGTCCAATGTTATTGAAAAGTCCTAACTACCTAGGAGGCCTGGAGGGAGGGGGAAAACGTATTTCATAGACACTAGCCCCAGCACTAGGAACTGAAGAATCGTCTGAAGCCCAGCTGTGATTCCCCAAGGCGTCAACGGTCAGAAGTTAATCTTCCCTCCTGTTTTTACAACTTTCTCCACCACTTACTCTTCTTATACCTGCCATAGATGTATTTAGCTACTGAACTCCTATGTCAACAATCTATAGCCAGAACGTTCTTGAGACTCCACTCATATCTCCAATTGCAGAGAAAATTATTTATTTATTTATTTGTGGTAGACATGGGGTCTCGCTGTGTTGACCAGGACACTGGTCTGGAACTCCTAGCCTCAAGCTATCCTCCCACCTCGTCCTCCCAAAGCACTGGGATTACAGGTGTTAGCCACTGTGCCCAACCCCAAATTAGAATTTTATCTGTAAGTAGAGTTGGAATTTTCTTCTGTATCTTCAGCTTCACATTTCCAAAATCGGATCCCTTATCATTCTTGGAAAGTCTTCCAAAGGCTGTGTAGTGGTTCACACCTGTAATCTCAGCACTTTGGGAGACTGAGGCTGGAGAATCACTTGAGCCCAGGAGTTTAAGACTAACCTGGGCAACGTAGCAAGACCTGTGTCTACTAAAAATAAAAATAATAAAAATAAATAAAATTTTAAAAAGCCAGGTGTAGTGGCACATACCTGTGGTCCCAACTACTTAGGAGGCTAAGGTGGAAGGATCACTTGAGCCGCAGGATGTTGAGGCTGCAGTGAGCCATGATCATGCCACTGCACTGTAGTCTGGGTGACAGAGTAAGACCCTGTCTCAAAAAATAAAATAAAATAAAGCCTTCCCTTTTGTGCTCACCAGCTCTGTTACTAATATCACTGCCTTCCTACTCACCACCTATCCAGACTTAAAAAGCCACGGTCACTTCAGTTCTTCCTCTGGCCCCTCAGCCTTACCCTTGGTGTTGACACTGTCCTTTAAAAACCCCACTACTATCACCCTACTTCAAACCCCTTTTTATATATAACGTAGACCATATTTTTTTAAGCATACAACTCCAATTGTCTCATTGGCCTAAGCAAAAAGCCTCAGAGACTACCCAGTACTTGTGGAACATTAGCCCAACGTTCTTCACATAATGTTAGTTGCTTCAGATGTGGCCAAAATCAATGACCTTGGCTTTATTTCTGCAGCAGAACCAGCCTGAAACCACCACTGAAACACAATTTATGCCTTGCTATCTTCCTAAGGATTAAGCATCTGGGTAAGAATGTAAGAATCCTTACTCTTCTCCTTTGAGTTGTAAATCATGGGCAAGTTACTTAGTTTTCAAAAAAAGCCTGTGCTCCATTATCTGTTAATGGGTTAATAATAGCCACTACTTCGTGGAGTCATGAGAACAAAATGAGATAATGGCCAAAGTGCCCTGTTAATTGTCTCACTGAAGAAACTGGAAATCATTATTTATTTTCCTCCAAATACCTCATGTTGTAGACTTATCTGTAATTCTAATTTACAAAAATATTCACCTTTCTAAAACTAACCAGCCCTTTGGGGTTCAGCTCAAATGCCACTTAAATAATGAAAACTTTCCTGAATATTTCAACCACATGTGATTGTTTCCCTTCTCCCTTGTGTATTGGCCTCTCTTATTGTACTTATCACATTCTTCCTTTTATCACAGTTATTCATACTTACCTTATCCACATTGCTCAGCTCACCTGTCATCACCACCATAAAATAAGAATATGTACGTGGACTTCCTCTTTTCTTTTCTTTTCTATTTATTTATTGCTTCTAGTACGATGCTATGCGTGTAATAAGTCAGTTGGGGTCTTAGCAGGAAATAGGTGGCACAATCCAACTGGGTAAATTAGGAGACACAAAAGGACTGAGTGTATGCAGGGATAAAGGAAAGTGGCAGTATATGTGCCATGTAGTCCCTGGGACTAGCAACACTGACAATCACTCGTAGGCCTAAACAGGGCCAGGGAAAGAAATAATTACCAGAACTCAGGAATAGTTCTACCTGTAGTGTAGCTGTAGCTGTAGCTGTAGAGAGTGCCATTCAACCAACAGTAGTGGTTTGTGACAGGAATAAAGCTGCCTAAAGATTAATCCTGCCGGCCGGGCACAGTGGCTCATGCCTGTAATCCCAGCACTTTGGAATGCCAAGGTGGGCAGATCACCTGAGGTCAGGAGTTTGAGACCAGCCTGGCCAACATGGTGAAACCCTGTCTCTACTAAAAATACAAAAATTAGCCAGGCATGGTGGCAAGGGCCCGTAATCCCAGCTACTTGGGAGGCTGAGGCAGGAGAATCGCTTGCACCCGGGAGGAGGAGGTTGCAGTAAGCCGAGATGACACCACTGCATTCCAGCCTGGGTGACAAGAGTGAGACTCCATCTCAAAAACAAACAAAAAAAGATTAATCCTACCTGAAGAGGAACCTACCTAAGGCAGGGGTCAACAAACTTTTTTCTGTAAAGGGCCAGAAAATAAATATTTTAGGCTTCACAGATCATACCATCTCTGTCATGTCATGACTACTCAACTCTGCTGGCTGGAATGTAAAAGGCAGCTATAGGCCATATTTAAATGGATATGTGTGGCTGTGTTTTGATAAAACTTAATTTACAAAAGTAGGCTGCAGGGCAGATAGGGCCTCTGGGCTACAGTTTGCAGACCCCTGTTCTTCCATAGGGAAGGAATAATCTTACTTCACTCTCCTCCTGCCCCTTCATCTCCTGCTGATGGCTTCTACTATTTGGACATAAATAGAGCCAGATTGTTAGTGAAGTCCAAAAAGATCACCTCCCATTCTGGGGGCAGAGCAGGTGCAGAAAGGGACAGAAATTCTAGAGGGTTCAAAGGAGAATATTCAACACAAAATGTTTTCAGCAACTACTTGTTGAAATGAATGAATCGTATGACTGGTCACTGTGAATCCCACTGCAAATGATTGAACGCTCATGGAAAAACTGCTGAAATTTAATTCCTAAGTAGGAAAAGCTGGGAAAGGGCCCTGGACCATCATGACTTCAACAAGGACCTGAGGCTCAGTGTGCTTCTCTCTTGCTTTACTTTAGGAATTTTGCAAAATATACACATGAGAAATACTGGTTCTTGAAATGAGGAATTTCAAACATTTTTCAGTGTAGTGACATTTGTTGTAATGAGTGTGACAGATCTCAGAAATTTCTTTATAATGAAAAGGGATAACAGATGAGAGACAAAAACAAACCTTGGATACCCCTCAGGTCAGCTCCTGCAGTCAATCCCTCAAATGTTTTTAATAAGGGAGACCTCTTCCATCCACATTGGGTGCTGAGTCCGTGCTCCTGAAATTGGGAAGTTGATTCTAGCCACTCAGGCTGCCTCTCTTTCTCCCACCTACTTTGGTTTTCTCTCTTCCCCAGTCATTCTCTATTTTCGTCTGGTTCTTCCTGTGAGGTCCTGAAAGGTAGTGGTTTGGCACTTGAGCACCAGAGTGAATGGGACTTAGATTTAATCCCTTCTTTGCCTCTCACTAGCAAGTCACTAAGTCTCGCTTTCTCCCATCAGGACAGTGGAGAACATCATAGGGTTGTCAAGATTAAATGAGCCATGTTCTTAATATATGTGAGCTAATGTTAAAGCTTACTAGTTTGTCCTGTTTTATCACCCCCTCACCTTTCATTGCATTTGGAACCCAGTCTCACTTTTAAATAAGTTTTTCTATAAAGATAAAACAAGTAGGTATTTGAGAGGAGAAGGAGGAAGAAATCCAGCATGCTCCTAAATGTGTTCCATTTATTTCTCAAAATTTTATACATTTAAGTCCTCACTTAACATCATCAACACGTTCTTGGAAACTGTGACTTTAAGCAAAACAACATGCAGCAGGTCATTGAATAGCATAATTTTATTCAATATAGTTTTGTTATAACATTGATAAGAAAAAATGGTTTTGTTACATACATATATATATATATGTCATTTTGCTTAAAGTCATAGTTTCCAAGAACCTATGGATGACATCAAGTCAAGACTAATTGTATTTCTTAAATGAACAGCAATTTTTACCATATCATCTATGATATGCCCACCCTAATAAATTATTCTACTTATTGTAAATAGAACTGCCTTATAGGCAGAAACTGCAAATTCAAAATAAGAAGTAATTTAGAAAAGAAAAGTTTTTAAATGACAATTACTATTGTTGCCTAACTCTCATATTGTCTTGTAAATGACACACACATTTTTTACTTGCAAAGAATTTAAAAATCAATTCAGGTAAAACAAGAGCAGGAACCACCCACAGGTAAATCTAAATCTCACTTCCTGCAACCAGGACCGTTCTCCCCCACGACCACCACCCTTAGATGAAAGAAGGAAAGAAAATGAATTCCTAGTTTACCTCCTCTGCCATTAGTCATTAGTCATATTTAGGGAATCCTTCTTGAAAAAATTTCAAGAAAATTCCAAGCCTCTTGGCATTTTAGGGCCAACTTTTATTGGCTTCTAATGTTTTAAAAAAACTTCCCAAGAGTCTGTGGCTTCTTTTGAAAGTTACACGTGCGGTACACCTCACTCAGCAGATTTGCTGCTCGTAACTGCCCGCTTAGTAACTGTTACCAAAAGTCTATCAGGACTTTTGAATTTTCAGTTACACTTCACTGTAATGAATGCATGACAGTTATATTTTATAATAATATAAGCAAATTTGGAGAATGCAAATTTCAGGATATATCTCACTGACATAATGGATCTAATGTATGCAAATCCAGGAAGAAAATCCAGTGTTCCCTTCCCCATCTTCTTTTGAGCAAAAGTCTCAAAAGAAAAGATGTTTTAAAGAACTAAGAAAAGATTGGGGAAGAAGATGGGAAAAAATTAAAGCACAAATAAAACACACAAGTAATCTTTCTGGGGGTTGAGCTGGAGAGAGCTAACAGACCAGGTTTAGGAGTGTCGACCTAAAGGAAAAAACTGAGGCAAACTTAATATAAGTGAAGAGTTTATTTGGTTGAAGTTTGAGGACTAGAACCAGAGAGCATATATTCAACTTGCCCCGAATATACACTCCCATTAGCAGTGTACCTGCTGTAAAGTACAAGTAAATTTTTAAAGGAAAGGAAAAGGCAGTTCCTAAGTTATTTACCAATAATTTACATTATTGCTATTGATTGGCCTTACATTGTTCTTTGTATCACAAATCCCAGGAACATGGAGATAATGGATAAGGCAGCTAGTTAGGAAAAAAATTGCTTTAAATAATTGTCCTCCTCCACCACCACCACTATGGGTAAGTCCTATACTCATGACTCTCTGGGCCTGACAAATTTTGCACAACTCACATTCCTCAGACTGCTCTGAACTATTTTCCTTTTCTCAGGAAATAAAAGAGGAGTCAGGATTTTTCCTTCCAGTCTCAGTCTGGATCAACTGAATGAAAGCAACCTTTCACAGTAGTCATTTCACTATTGAGATGAGAAGGAAATAAAAAGAATATATATATATGTATATATGGCATGTTCTCACTTATAAGTGGAAGCTAAATGATGAGAACACATGAACAGATGGGGGAATACACACACACACACACACACACACACACACACACACACACACACACACATATATAGCCATGTAAGAAGTAGCAGCTAAGAAAAATAATCAAAGTATAGGCAAGGCCACAGCAAAAAAATGTAAAGTAAAATGGAGAAAGTATCCCCAACATTCAACTGACTCTCATGATAATTGCCATCTGTGTAGTTCCTCAGAAACAGACATAATAGAATTTAAAAGGGACAGAAAAAGAAAAGCAGAGGAGGATGCTCTCATTGGATGGTAAACTGTTGATACTGCCCATGATAGAAACAGACATTTTTGTCTTATTTACTATTATTGAACAACCCCAAGATTCTAAAACAAAACAACAGTAAGCCACACACACACACACACACACAAAAGGCAAGAATTTAATAAACAGAGTGTTGTCTGCACCTATATACACAGGTTAATTCCAAAATGTTTGTTAATTGTTCTGTAAACATGGTTAAGAAAAATACTCCTTCTATCCTAAGAAACTGAATGCCTAATATACCAAAGATGTGTCAAGACAAGCACCGCACTAATCACTAATGTTTTTACTTCTTTTTTTTTTTTTTTGAGATGGAGTTTCACTTTGTTGCCCAGACTGGAAAGCAATGGCATGATCTCGGCTCACTGCAACCTCTGCCTCCCAGGTTCAAATGATTCGCCTTCCTCAGCCTCCCGAGTAGCTAGGATTACAGGTGCCCGTCACCACGTCCAGCTAGGTTTTTGTATTTTTAGCAGAGACAGGGGTTTCATCATGTTGGCCAGGCTGGTCTCAAACTCTTGACCTCAGGTGATCCACCTGCCTCAGCCTCCCAAAGTGCTGGGATTACAGGCCTGAGCCACCGCTCCCAGCCCTAATGTTTTTACTTCTAAAAGTCAGAGACTTGAGTTCTGTGTCTTTGAAATCCACCAGGATCAACTAGCTGCCCTACACACAGTGGGGGTCTGAGGGATCTGTGCAGTTATGTGAAGAAGTAGATTTGGACCTGGAGAAAACAGAGAAATGAAAAAGGAACAAAATGAGGGAAGGTGGATAAAAATAAAGTGAGTGGAGGATGAGGGGCTGACAATAGGAGGATTGAGCCAAAGTTTACTTACTGCATAGGGAACCTTAAACCCCTTCCTCTCTTTGCTTCCAGAATGCCTGCAGCTAGGCCTTTGCCCTCCAGACAGAAAATTAAAAAAAACAAACAAACATTTTCTCTGTAAAACTTTCCCAGCCAACTTTCAGATGTGGAATTTGAAAAGAAAGAGGAGTCAATAGTAACACTAAGATTTTAGGCCTCAACAATTTAGAAGCAATAAGTTGCCTTTAACTAAAATGGGGAAGACACTTGAAGGGCAGGGTAGGAGAAAGATCAGGAGTTTGGTTGCGAACAACTCAGGTTTGAGATTTTCATTATGTTAACCAGTAAATAATATCCAAGTTACCAGTGGCTAATCCTTATGGGTCTGCAGCAATCTCAGTTCTTGCCTTCTCAGAAGAAATAATTCAGCTGAGGGGCATAAGGAAGAAAAAGAGACTGAAGCAAGTTTCAGAGCAAGAGTAGAAGTTTATTTTAAAAGGCTTTAGAACCACATTTCCAGGAAAAATATAGTTTCCTGGAAGTCTAATGAAGAAATAAAATTTGATTTGCATTTCTCTAATGATCAGTGATGTTGAGCTGTTTTTCATATGCTTGTTGGCTACACATATGTATTCTTTTGAAAAGTGGCTGCCCATGACCTTTGTCCATTTTTTTTTTTAACTTTTAAGTTCAGGGGTACAACTGCAGGTTTGTTACATGGGTAAATTGTGTAATGGAGGTTTGTTGTAATATTATTTCATCACATAAGTATTAATCTAGTACCCATTAGTTATTTTCCCTGATCCTCTTTTTCCTCCCACCCTCGACCCTCCAAAAGACCACAGTGTGTCTTGTTCCCCCTATCTGTTCATGTGTTCTCATCATTTAGCTTCCACTTATAAGTGAGAACATGCCGTATTTGGTATTCTGATCCTGTGTTAGTTTGCTAAGGATAATGGCCTCCAGCTCCATCCATGTCTCTGCAAAGGACATGATCTCATTGATTTTATGTCTGCATAGTATACCATGGTGTATATGTACCATATGTTCTTTATCCAGTCTGTTATTGATGCCTTGCCCAGTTTTAAATGGGTTGTTGTTGTTTTTTTTCTTGTAAATTTGTTTAAGTTCCTTACAGATACTGGATATTAGAACTTTGTCAGATGCATCGTTTGCAAAAATTTCCTCACGTTCTGTAGTTGTCTGTTTACACTGTTGATAGTTTCTTTTGCTGTGCAGAATCTCTTTAGTTTAATTAAATCCCATTTGTTAATTTTTGCTTTTGTTGCAATTGCTTTTGATGTCTCCATCATAAAATCTTTGCCAGTTCCTATGTCTGTTGTCTTCCAGAGTTTTTCTAGTTTTTGGTTTTACATTTAAGTCTTTAATCCATCTTGAGTTGATTTTTGTGTATGGTATAAGGAAGGGGTCTAGTTTCAATATTCTACATTGGTCTAGCCAATTATCCCAGCACCATTTATTAACTAGGAAATCCTTTCCCCATGGCTTTTTGTCAGCTTTGTCAAAGATCAGATGGTTGTAGGTGTGTGGCCTTATTTCTGGGCTCTCTATTCTGTTTTATTGGTCTGAGTCTGTTTTTGTACCAGTACCATGTTGTTTTGGTTACTGTAGCCCTGTAGTATAGTTTGAAGTCAGGTAGTGTTATGCCTCCAGTTTTGTTCTTTTTCTTAGGATTGCCTTGGCTATTTGGGCTCTTGTTTGGTTACATATGAATTTTAAAATCGTTTTTCCTAGTTCTGTCAAAAATGTCATTGGCAGTTGGGTAGGAATAGCATTGAATCTATAAATTGCTTTGGGTAGTGTATTAGTCCATTCTCACACTGCTATAAATAACTGCCTGAGACTGGGTGATTTACAAAGGAAAGAGATGTAATTGACTCACAGTTCTGCATGGCTGGGGAGGTGATAGGAAACTTACAATCATGGCGCAAGGAGAAGCAGGCATGTCCTACATGGCAGCAGGTGAGAGAAGGGGAAAATGCCGCTTATACAATCATCAGATCTCATGAGAATTCACTCACTCTCATGAGAACAGCATGGGGGAAATTGCCCCCATGGTCCAATCACCTCCCACCGGTTTTCTCTCTTGACATGTGAGGATTATGGGGATTACGATAGGAGATGAGATCTGGGCAGGGACACAGAGCCAAACAATATCAAGCAGTATGACCATTTTAACAATATTGATTCTTCCTATCCAAGAGCATAAAATGTTTTTCCATTTGTTCCTGTCATCTCTGATTTCTTTGAGCAGAATTTTGTAATTCTGATTGTAGAAATCTTTCACCTTCATGGTTAGCTGTATTCCTAGGTATTTTAATTTTTTTGCATGGCAATTGTGAATGGGATTGCATTCCTGATTTGGTTCTCAGCTTGACTGTGAGTGGAGTGTAGGAATGCTAGTAATTTTTGTATGTTTATTTTGTACCCTGAAACTTCACTGAAGTTGTTTATCAGCTTAAGGAGATTTTGGGCCAAGACTATTGGGTTTTCTAGATGTAGAATCATGTTATCTGCAAACAGGGATGTTTTGACTTTCTTTCTTCCTATTTGGATGCCCTTTATCTCTCTCTCTTGCCACATTGCTCTGGCCAGGACTCTCAATACTATGTTGAATAGGAGTAGTGAGAGAGGGCATCAGTCTTGTGCTGGTTTTCAAGGGGAATGCTTCCAGCTTTTGCCCATTCAGTGTGATTGGTTCAGGTTTGTCATAGATGGCTCTTATTGCTTTGAGGTGTGGAGTTGAGTAGTTCCAATCAACAGTCATGGAAATAAAACTTAAATAAGTTTTAAAAAGAGATATAAAGAGAATTACATAGTAAATAGAGACATCCCTTCCATGGAGTATTATAGTAAAGGGGGATAAACATAGTGGTTACTGCAGGAAGAAAAGTGAGATCAGGAAAAGTTATTCTTAATGATGATTAATATTATAGCATGTCTGTATGCTGATGGGAATGATTCAAGAGAGTGGAAAATTAATGGTATGCGACCTCATACACAAGCGGAGGGTTGGTCTTAAGTAGAAGCAAGGAAGAAGGTAAAGAATATGAGCTCAGATGTAACAGAGTTGATACATCTAGTGATGGGAACTTGTGGAAATGCTCTTCTATTTAACAATCATTTTAAATTTCACAAAGTCATCAGCAGAGCCTTCAGCTGACAGTCAGGTGCAAAGAAAGTATTGGAGGTTTGAGGAAACAAGAAAATACAAAGTCATCCTTTAGGACAGGTGTCAGCAAGCTTTTTCTGCAGAAGACTAGCTAACAAACATTTTGGGCTTTCTAAGCCATACAGTCTCTGTCTCAACTACACACTCTGTAGTTGTAGTATTAAAGCATCTATAGATAATATGTAAATGAATGGGTGTGGCTAAGTTTCAGTAAAACATTGTTTATGAAAACAGGCAGCAACAATTGAATAGCACAAGCAAAGAATGAACTTGGGCCCCTACTCCACACTGTACATAAAAATTAATTCAAAATCAACTTTAGACCTAAAAATGGGAAAGATGAGGGGATTGAGAGATAACAGCTCAAGGGCATGGGATTTCTCTTTTTTTTTTTTTTGGTGATGAAAATGTTCTAAAATTGGTTTTGGTAAAGTTTACACAAGTCTGTGAATATACTAGAAGCCATTGAATTGTACACTTTAAATAGGTAAATTCTATGGTATATGAGTTATGTCTCAATTCAACTACCTAAAAAATTAAAACAAGCAAAACTGGTGATGAGTCAGATTTAACTCTCTGGTAGGAGCTAGCACTTGGGCTCTCCAGCCTGAGTGTGCATCAGAATCACCAGGAGGGCTTGTGATATGGTTTGGTTCTGTGTCCCCATCCAAATCTCACGTTGAATTGTAATTCTCAATGTT
Source organism: Homo sapiens (assembly GCF_000001405.40). Taxonomy (NCBI): domain Eukaryota; kingdom Metazoa; phylum Chordata; class Mammalia; order Primates; family Hominidae; genus Homo; species Homo sapiens. The sequence continues at coordinate 122,155,338 of NC_000007.14, forward strand.
CAAGGGAGGTGAGTGGATCATGGGGGTGGTTTCTAATGGTTTAGCACCATCCCCCTAGTGCCCTCTCATGATTGAATTCGCATGAGATCTGGTTGTTTAAAAGTGTGTAGCACCTGCATCTTCGCTCTTTCTTCCTCCTGCTCCCACCATGTAAGATATGCTGGCTTCCCCTTCACCTTCTGCCATGATTGTAAGTTTCCTGAGGCCTGCCAAGCCATGCCTCCTGTACAACCTGCAGAACTGTGAGTCAGTTAAACCTCTTTTCTTCATAAATTGTGCAGTCTCAGGTAGTTCTTTATAGCAATGTGAAAAGGGACTAATATAGCTTGTTACAGCAAAGATGTGTAGGCCTCACACCCAGAGTCCCTGATTTAATAGGTCTGGGCTGAGGCAAAAAGTTTGCATTTCTAACATTCTTCCCAAGTAAAGCCGATGCTACAAGTCATGGGGCAGGCCATGGCCATGAATCACTGATCTAGGAGTATAGGGGAATGAATGAATTAGCACAATATAACAAAATTCCTAGAAAGCTTTATGGGGCCCATTGGAGGTATTGGTAAAATAAAAAAAAATTAAGGTGAGACCAATCATAACAGTGTGATTTCCTTCAGCCACGTTCAGCTTCTCAGATGTTGGCACAGAGTAGATGAAGATAAATATTAAGCAGAACAAGGGTGTGTAGAGTACATGCAAAAGAAAGATATTAATGACTGACTATGCAATTTAAGCCAGACACAGAAGGAAATATGGACCTGAGAGAGATAAGAGATGGAGACAACCGGTAGAATGAATGGCTTTTTTTCTGGTGGAGTGGGGCCAAAGGATTGTTGGAGCTGAAGTACTGGAGGAAAAAAAACTGAAAAAAGACTGTTGGGTTGGAAAGTGGGATCTTTATAAGGAAGATAATGGAGGAGCTGCTGTTATTGGCAATGACAAAATTCAGAGAGTGAGTAACTGAGATAGAGAGGAGAAAACGTCAAGGAAATGACAGGCCAGGTTGTGAAAAGGATTATCTGCATCGGTGCTGAAATAACCAATAATTGTAATAAGAATATTATTGCATGGAATTACAGTGAACCAGGAACTAGAATCTTTAATAGACTAAGGGCAATGACTTGGGTTGAGGTAGAGCCTACCCCCCAAAAGAAACAGTAAATATTAAGATGTAATGATGTGTGATGAAAAGCTGTGTGTTTTTAGGGATAGAGTAATATGGGGTTGGAAGCTTCAGAGAACAGCAAGTAACATGCCACTACTCCACTCCCAGTGGTATAATGGATGTAGCTGAGAAAACATCCACTGCTTAAGAGGGTTGCAGGGGTAGGAGTGTTACCAGAAGCCAGGTTTAATGAGAGCAAGAGGTGAAGACACCATTCAGAAAAGATCTTGAAGAAAGGAGTATTTTACTGATAATTGATGAATTCCAGAGGACACAGGGAAAGGGTTTTAGGACGTAGGCAGAGGCAGGAGATGGAACAAAAAAGGTTATTTGCAAAACCATATGTGCGTTAGAGTACAGAAACAAAGACCTGAAATTCCTGGGCTTCACCTTGTGACTGTCAAGAGCAGGGATATAGACAGGATTTGTCAGCCTCGTCACTATTGATATTTTGGGCCTGAACAGTCTTCGTTGGGATTGTGGGCGGAGTTGGGGGGTGGATGTTCTGTGCACTGCAGAATGTTAAGCAGCATCCCTAGGTTCTACCTACTAGATCACAACTCAGGTGTGACAAACAGGAATGACTGTAGACATTCCCAGGAACTCACTGTAAGAAAATAATTACGTGTGTAATAATATATTTATTTTCAATATATATGATCTGTACCTTGTGTGTGTATACATACACGTTTGTCTGCCAGAGTATGATATGCAGTAGCCCCAAATTCAAAACATATAAATGACCCTCAATAGGATATTGGCTAAGTAAATTATGATACATTCATATAATGTATCATCTGCTGCAATTTATAATCATGAAAAGAGGAAGGTGGGTTCAGGACAGCGGCCATTAGGGTCTGGTGTAGGCAAACATGCCAGGACAGAAGTCTGAGGTCCAATGTGAGAGAAGCAAGGAGAATGAGCTTCAATAGACAACAGAAAACAAAGCGTTTCAAAAAGGGAAAGAAGTCAAAGGTTTTGAAAAAAAATTAAAACAAACAGACAAAAAAAAAACCCCACCAAAATCTTAGCATTCCTCTGTTTAATTTTCAGTTCAGAAAATCTTTCACAGCTAAAAACAACATCTGCTGCTTCTGCTTCTCTTGCACACAGGCTGCCCTTGCCTCCTTAAGTCCCCAATGTCTTGGCTGCTTTGGCATCTCTGCCACTTGTAGAAGCCTGTCTGTACTACCTGCTGAGCCCACACCAGCTCGCCTGACAGGAAGGCAACCCTGTACCTAGCAACTCATGAAGTTTAATGGCCTTGTAACAGGTTCATAGAGAACCCCACCCTCCCATGCCCGCAAAATTCATGCCCACCCAGAGCCTTAGAATGTGACCTTATTTGGAAATAAGATTTTTGCCCATATAAGAATCAAGATGAGATTATAGAGATGAGTATAGTGATTCATGCTTGTAATCCTAGCTCTTTAGGAGGCCAAGGCAGGAGGATTGCTTGGGGCCAGGAGCTCAACACCAGCCTGAGCAACATAACAAGAACTTGTCTCTACCAAAAAATAAAAAATTAGCTGGATGAATCCCTGTAGTTCAAGCTACTCAGGAGGCTGAGGCAAGAGGATTACTTAAGTCCAGGAGTTCAAGGTTTGTGGTGAGCTATGATCTTTCCACTGCACTCCAGCCTCAGTAACATAGCAAGACCTTTTCTTTTTTGTTTTTGTTTTTGTTTTTTGTTTTTCTTTGTTGTTGTTGTTTGTTTTTTAAGTGAGATTATACTGGATTTGGGTGGGCTCTAAATCTATTGAACGTGTCTTATTAAAGACAGAAAGGGACATAAAGCCTGAAATTTCTACAGACCCATTTAACAAAAGTATCTCACAATAAATATGTGAAAATAAAGTAGTGGGAATAAACTTGTTTTTGATTACCTGATTCCTGATAAGTCTGTAACTCATGGTTCTTCATTAGATAGGCTGACAAAAAGCTTATCAAAAAGTTGGTAAACACTGTCTTGAAAACATATCTTGAAGCATAATTGTCATTATTATGCAGGGTATACTGGGCCCAGAAACCTCCAAAGTGTAAGGAAAATCAAAAGATATCACTCTCGAATGAAACAGATGAACAGTAACAAAATAGAGGGAAGAATGACCAACTTTACAAATTATTTTTAAATGAATCACTGAAGGTACTAAGAAATTTCCCAGGTCTCTATCGGGAGACCCTATTGTCTTCTCAAGAAGATTTTTATTTTATTTTATTTTATTTTTTGAGACAGGGTCTCTCTCTGTCACCCAGATTGGAGTGCAGTAGTGTGATCATTGCCCACTGCAATCTCGATCTCCTGGGCTCAGCCTCTTGCTTCAGCCTCCCAGGTAGTTGAGACTCCAGGCACGTGCCAACACACCTGGCTAATTTTTTAATTTTTTGTAGAGTCGAGGTCTTGGTATGTTGCTCAGGCTGGTCTTGAACTCCTGGCCTCAAGTGATGCTCCTGCTCAGTCTCCCAAAATGCTGGGATTACAGGCATCAGCCACGGCATCGAGACTGTGCCCATATTTTCTGAATTCCACTTTCTGCCTTCTTAGCTGCATCTGCTCCACCACTTAAACTGCATCCCAATGCCAATGGTTGCCTTCATCTGGTCCCTCCCAATTTCTCCTCCTTTCCATAATGTATCAGTCAATGGAATAGCAGGAAATAAAAGGCAAACACAAAGGCTGTAACTGAGTGAGCTTAATAAAAATATTATCTAAAGAGTTATGGACAAGGTTAAGGAAACAAAAACATGTGATGTAACACTTAGGGACCAGCAATAAGCGGGAAATCATTGTCACCCCAAAACTATTTATGGAGATACCCAGTGTAGATTGGAGAGAGCTGTTTTTCCAAACTATTGAGCATGGTGACTTAGTGATTGGAAAAACTAGTTTTATACAGGAATTTTAATTTTTCATGGTGTTGATTTGTTGATGAAGTGGCATCATAGGAGATACATTCCACTTAGAAATCACAGGTCTTTGTCCATTAAGAAATGTGTCTTCTCACAGTAACCATAGGGGTTATTTATCTTACTATCAAACTGGTGACATCATTCAAGCTGGAATCAAGGATATTGATAGATGCCATGCAAAGCTTGCACTGTCTCTGGATACCTCGTCTCTTCCACCACACCTATCTGGTATTAAATTAGGTGTAATTAGCCCTGAAGAACTTCCTTTGTGCTACAGGAGGTGTGTTGAACTAAATAACAATTCTTTGGAGCCTATAAAAATATCATGCAGAGTTCAGTGGGATTTGTTAATTGAGGAGTAATTTTTTTTCTAGAAAAAGTAGGAATAGACTAATATAATCCACCACCTTAAAAAAACATATTTAGGGCCAGGCATGGTGGCTCATGCCTGTAATCACAGCACTTTGGGAGGCCAAGGTGGGCGGATCAAGAGGTCAGGAGTTCAAGACCAGCCTGACCAACATGGTGAAACCATGTCTCTACTAAAAATACAAAAATTAGCCAGGCGTGGTGGTGCATGCCTGTAATCCCAGCTACTTGGGAGGCTGAGGCAGGAGAATCACTTGAATCTGAGAGGCGGAGGTTGCAGTGAGCCCAGAGTGTGCCACTGCACTCCAGCCTGGGTGACAGAGCAAGACTCCATCTAAAAAAAAACAAACAAACAAAAACCAAAAAAAAAAACACCACCACCAAAAACACATTGAGGGGGTACAAGTGCAGTTTTGTTGCATAGATATATTTCACACTGGTGAAGTCTGGGCTTTTAGTGTACCCATCACACAAATAATGAACATTGTACCCAACAGGTAATTTTTTTCTCTCTCTTTTTTTTTTCCTCACCCTCCTTCTACCATCCCACCCTCCTGAGTTCCTAATGTCTGTTATTCTACTCTATATGTACATGTGTACACATTGTTTAGCTCCTACTTAGAAGGAAGAACATGCGGTATTTGACTTTCTGTTTCTGAGTTATTTCACTTAGGGTAATGTACTCCAGTTCCATTCGTGTTGCTGCAACCATCCACCATCTTTAATAAAAGGCCTGCAGAGCAATAATTTCTCTTAAGACAATTTTGTTTCTGCATTAAGAAAGTAACAATATGCACCTTGGGCTTTAAAATGTGTGAAGATTACAGTTTAAGATTGGATGCCATGCGGATGCTGTGAATGAATACAATAAAGCTCTAGAAACAAACAAATAAAACGCTGGCAGTTCATGAAGGATTAAATACACCAAAGGGAAGTCTGAACAAAGCAACAGAAGATTTTGAGCTTACATTACAAAACTCTCCAACTCACAGACACTTGTAGAAAGAAGAGGATAGTTAGAAGAAGAAAAGTTTTTAAATGCTGAAAGTCACTGGAAGAAAGCTTGGGCTTTGGATGAGACTTTGAAAGATGTAAAAAATGCTTCGCAGAAACTTCATAAATAAGTACAGAGAAAAAACAGGCTGAAAAGGAAGAAAAGCAGAAAACAAAGAAAATAGAAGCATGTGAAGAAAGTTATATAAGCTCTCAAAAGAGAACAAGGGACAAAGCTCGGTGGCTTATGCCTGTAATCCCAGAATTTTGGGAGGCCAAGGCGGGCAGATCACTTGAGGTCAGGAGTTTGAGACCATCCTGGCCAACATGGTGAAAGCCCGTCTCTACTGAAAAATACAAAAAATTAGCTGGGCATGGTGGTATGCACCTGTAGTCCCAGCTACTCGAGAGTCTGAGACAGGAGAATTACTTGAACCCGGGAGGTGGAGGTTGTAGTGAGCTGAAATTGCACTACTGCACTCTAGCCTGGGCAACAGAGTGAGGCTCCATCTCAAAAAAAAAAAAAAAAAAAAAAGAAAGAAAGAGAGAGAGGGAGGGAGAAAGGCTAAAGAAGAAAAGAAAATCAACTACTTCCTCTTCCTGTTTCTTCTGCTGATGAATCTGTTTCTGCATCATCCTCATTCTCTTCCAGTCACAAAAAGCATAAGAAACATAAGAGGAACTGTTCCAAGTCTGCTTGAAATTCGAAGAGACATTCGCTTAGGGTATCCCCAAACCAGATAGACAGAGTAGGAAAGGTGAAACCCAGTTTCAACTAATACTTTAGCATCTTTTCTTAACCAAAAGCAAGAAGTGGAAAAACTACTGGAAAAGCAGGGATAAGTTACAATATCAAAAAACATGAGTAAAAGAGAAAGATAGATACTCTCTCCATCTTCAGATGAAATACTGTATTATTTTGGAGACAGGTCTGAAGAGCCAAGAGATTTTTGTAATACTGATAAAACCGAGACAAGTAGTAGCAAAGCAGAAAAGCCATATAAATCAGAAAGACATTTTTCCAGCAGAAGAAATTCCTCAGATTCCTTCCGTAGGAATTCAGGAAACAAGATAAGAATTTATGATTGTAGATTTGAACAGGATATGGTTGTAGGAGATGTGGTCGTAGGAGGGAAGAAAAGAGCTCTAGAGAAGGTAAAAGCCAGGTTCTATGAGGTATTTCACTTCACCAGCAAGCTGAGACCACTCCTGGAAGTCAGTTGAGAGATACAAAAAACATTCTTATTCTAGATCATGTGATTTTGGTAGACATGAGCTAAAATACTGATTAAATACAAATCAAGGAAAATATGAAGGAGAAAATAATTATGGGGAGGATATCAAAACAGAGGTTCCAGAACAAGATGGACTTATAGCAAAGAACACTCAGAAAGCAGCGTTTAAAAAAATTAAAATTTACTCAGTATATTTAATCAGATAGGTGGATTTGGGAAAGAAAAAGAAAATAAGACAAAAAATTTATATGCCAAGGAAATCAGCACCTTTACGCTAAATGCTGTTAGTAAAAGTTTTGGGTGTTTTAGTTATACCAGTCCAGGGCAAAAATCTCTGTTTCTAAAGTTGTATGTAGAGATTACAGAAAGCAAATGTTTTGTAGGTTTTCTCAAATTGCATTTGATTCAGTTGTAAGTCTCTTGTCACAGCTGGATTTTTAGGCTTTTCATGTGTATGTTTATGTACAGTATATTTCTTACTCTGACATTTTTAATTTCTTCACCTAAAGATAATTCTCTAAAAGCATTGTTTCTTCATTGTATGATGGTGTACGAGAGTCCATTATACTGGGTCCAAGGTATCCTGCAGTTTGAGAGAAAATTAAATCTGTGCGTGAACACTTGCATCATTTTCATCAGTTTCATTCTCTTTTCTGTTAAATTTAAAACCCTAAGCCTTTGAAAGTGATTATATGTTTTAATGTTTTTAAATACCATTTTATATGTATTGTCAGTTCAAATATTAAATATTTTTGCACAGTTGTTTATTTTTTTTAAATAGACTGTATGATCAAGTGCAGTGGCACACACTTATAATCACACACTTTGGAAGGCTGAGGGCAGAGAATCACTTGAAGCCAGGAGTTCAAGACCAGCTTGGGCAACATAGCAAGACCCCATCACTGCAAAAATTGTTTCTAAACATTAGCTAAACATGGTGGCATGTGCCTGTAGTCCCAGCTTCTGAGGAGGCTGAGGGGGGAAGATCACTGGATCCCAGCAGGTCAAGGTTACAGAGCGCCATGATTGCATCACTGCTGTCCAGCCTGGGTGGCAAAGTGAGACGTTGTCTCAAGAAAAAAAAAATACTATGTGAACATGAGTATGTAAGACTCTGTGTTGTAGAGGACTGGGACCTCACTATCTAAATGGAAACATTACTTGGCAAAAGCCAACATGCCTTATAATTATTTTACTTTGATTATATTTTCATTTGGGGGTTTAATGAGTTTGAATAGTTTGCAGATGTTATTTTGTTAAAATGGAATTTATTAGATTTAGAATATAAATTATTATAAATTATAGTTAATATAATTATAACTACAAATATTCTTCAATAATACTGTACATGTTAGCTAGTGTCATTTGGAGCAGACATAATTACCAGAGTGTGTGTGGACTTTAAAAATTTCCTAACATTGATGAATACTCAAGTCTTATCCTTATACTGGTAGCAGACCTTGGAACTGATCCTCTTCTTTTTGTTGAATTTTTGGGATCTGTCATGATGGCATGCAAAACCATGAACCAAAAGTATGGACTATTCATGTAAATAACACAAAGACTTATAAAAAAATACAATGTAGTATAAACACCAAATAATATTTATGGATGCTAATGTGTTTCATTTGAAGAATTTATAGAGCTCTGCCATTGGTGAATGAAAACTAAGCTTAAAACACTGATTATATTAAGCATAAACATGGAGTGGAGGAGTGAGGGAATGAAGGGTTTGGGTAAAAAAGGGATACTGTGATTGGATGAGCTGTGTGAGCACCAAGATAGAATTTTGTTGAGGCTCAACCTCTTGGCCTAAAAGCCAACACTCCCTTTTGAAAGGGTTTATCTAGATCATCACAAGATGACACTGATAACTTTATGATCTGCTTCTGGAAATTCAAACATGATGGAGAGTATATAGACATGTAGAAATACCTCAGTGTAACTAGGGATTTGAGTTATTTTACTTTAGTTCTTGGTATAGTATTCCTAACAATATTTTGATAATTGTTTTATGTTTCTTTCATTCCATGGGGAAGACTGATTTTTGTGCTGAGGTCCTAAAAGCAGGAATGTAATATATATAATAACACATATATAATTTATGTATAAATTATATATGTGTTTAAATATGTCAGTTATTTGTATAATTTGTGTGTATATGTGTATATAAGCACAAGAAATTCTAGAAATGAATACTTATATTTATTTTTAATATATACATTATATGAGTGTTTAAATATACAGTTATCTGTATAATTTGTGTGTATATGTATATAAGCACAAAAATTTTATAGGAAATCAACGAGTTCCTAAAAGTTTTTCATAGACCATCAGTGAAAAATACGCTGCAAATGATCAGAAAATATTTTAAAACCATTGTCCTAACTGTTTCTTAGGGGGAAGAGAGTATGAGCAACAGAGTGGTGAAATAAAAGGCTGGAAAGTATAGGTCAGAATCTAAAAATACTGTGCATATTTTAGAAAGTTCTAAGGAAGAAGTTTAAAATTATATGTGAGTACAGTGATGAAATGGCGAAAACACAAACAATAAGGTAATTACATAGTATAAAATAAGAAAACTTACCATACTTAAATGTCTATATGCTAGGTTTTGAGTGATAAACCAGTAATATTTTATGTAGTCCCTACAACAATCCATGAAGTAGATAAAAATAGTCTCCACTGACATGAGGAAACTGAGGCTTAAAAAGGTTAAGTGATGGCATTCACACCCCTGCTTAAAACCTAAGCTGGGGTCAACTCTGGTGGACTCCAAAGCTTGTGCTCCTAACCACTACGCTATGATTCCTTTCACGGAAAAATAATTAGTGGAATAGAGCGTAGACTGGGTTTTCTTCTTCTTGTTTTTTGTTTGTGATTGTTGTTTTAGTAAGGCAAATGTTTTTCTACAAAATTTTTATCCTTCATAGAATCTGCCTACTACAAATGGTCCTGCAACACGAGAGACTTTATCCTACATAGGTGGTAGCACTTTTGATTATGCGTCCTTGTGTCTCTCACTTTCAGAATCAATGGAAAATACAGTCCCTCAGTGTAAAGATAGTCTGTTCGTTCCCAAGGCTTAGTTGTAGACATTATACTCTAAACTAAAAGAAAGTGGCAACCCTGGATCAGGGATGGAAAAAAGAGTGTGCCTAGAATACTCTAAAGGAATTATTTTATAGATATACAAAAAGGTAGAGAAATTCTGAGCTAGCAACAAGGACCTTTGGAGAAGCATGCGGGGAAAGAGCAGAAGGTTTTGAAGATCACAAAAAATGCACAAAGCAAAGTGAAATTAAAGTTCTAAGAGACAAAAAAAGCTAGGGAGGGGTACAGAGAAATCCCAGATGTGGTAATAGCTTTGGTCATACTTAGGGCATATCAAATATGAAATTTATGGAGAGGTGGAATGATTGGAAAGAAGACTGGGGACTGGCAAAGCAGTTGGAGGAGGTGGGTTGAAAAAAAAAAACTTTCCAATAGGCTAAACGAATATAGCCAATGGGTAATAAGTATGCATAATAAGTATGCATAATAGAAGTCTTGAATAAAGATACTATAGCCAATGGGTAATAAGTATGCATAATAAGTTTGCATAATAGAAGTCTTGAATAAAGATACTTTTTGATCATAGGACTTCTCACAAATATGATTTTTTTTTTTCTTTCTTGAGACAGAGTCTCGTTCTGTTGCCCAGGCTGGAGTGCAGTGGCGTGATCTCAGCTCACTGCAACCTCCGCCTCCCAGGTTCAAGCGATTCTCCTGCCTCAGCCTCCTGGGTAGCTGGGATTACAGGTACCCACCACCATGCCCAGATAATTTTTGTATTTTTAGTAGAGATGGGGTTTCGCCATGTTGTCCAGGCTAGCTTCGAGCTCCTGATATCAAGCGATCCTCCCGCCTCGGCCTCCCAAAGTGCTGAGTTTACAAGTGTGAGCCACTGTGCCTGGCCCTGAATTCTTTAATGTAGACAACAGAATAGAAGTGCACCAAAGATTTTCTTAATTAATTATACTCATGGAATTTTTTTACACATGCATTGAAAGTATTATATAATGGGATTTCCCCAATCCCCCCAAAAAACTTTTCTTCTTCTAGTCATCTCCAGTTTATCATTGGTGCACCATACAGTTGTAGAAGACAAAAATCTAAGCCGTATCCTTGATTCATTCCACGTCCTGTAGGCTAAGCTGGATAATTTAGATTCAATTTCAAATGCAATGAGAAATCACTGAAGGTTTTTAAGCAGATAAATGATTGCTGGGATCGACATTTTTAAGAAGCTTATTCTGGCAACTTTTGGATAAATTTGATTGAGGAGCAAGAGTAAAATTCATAAGATCTTTCTGATTTCTCCTAAGTGAGCTGGCCCCTGCCTGGCACTGGTGTCACATCCCCTGTCACTCTTCTCTGTTTTGCATCCCTCTGGTCATGCCAGATTCTTTCCTGTTGACACTTGTCTGGAATGCTCCTGCCCAGGTTCTTGTATAGCTTACCGACACTTATCTTTCATGCCTCGACTTAAGTTTCATCTCCTCAAAGAGGCTTTCCCTGAGCATTCATCATTTCTTTTCCTTTACTTGTTTCTTGTCTGTTTATTCTGTTGGAATATTAGCTCTATGAAGGTAGAGACTGCATCTACCTTGTTACTAGCACATAGCAGCACATAGCAGACATTCGGTAAATATTCATTAAATAAATAAATGAATCAATAGAAAAATGGATGGAGAGATGGGTAAATAGGATTAGGTTCATTTCCTAGATTCAACAAGATTCTGGAATGTGGGAAATAGTACATTTAGGCTGAAGGTTCTTACCACTATTAGTAAACTTGTTTGGCTTATCTCTGCTGTAAATTCTTTCAGGTTTAGTAAGACTCATATGAATGTTTCCATGTTACAGGAAGATTTTTTTTTTTCTAAAATAATGTTTCTCTTGTTTCTGGCAGAAGGCCACCTGGCTTCCAGACTGAGCACCCTACACGTCAGAGGCACAGTGGTGTAAAATGGCATTTTCTATTTGTATTTCTCTTTTCTGACCATCCCTTCTCTTAGATAAGACAGTCACAATGACAAGGATCCTATTAGGAAATCTTGTATTGTCTAATAGCTAATCCCAAATGGGAGATAAAACTCTTTGCAACAATTCTTTTTTACTTACTATTATATTCTCTCTCACACTTCATAACTCTTTTACACCTTTCCTCTCTCCTCAAACCTCCCATAAGTCTTCTCCTTTCCCTTTTCTGACCCTGTCATCTATCTAATGATTATCATTCATATTTCACTGAAAATAAAAGCACTGTCAATCGATAGTTAAACCCCCAAATCCAGGAGTCATCTTTGATTTCCCTTTTTCATTAATCTCCAACATCCAATCTCTCTGCAAGTCCTATTAAGTCTCAACTTCGAAACATACAGTATCAGTCTAGTTCTCTTCATCTGCACTATGCCCACCCTATCTGAAGCACCATCATTTCCCATCTGGATACTGCAACAGCCTCCTGGTTGACCTCTCTTTTTCTGTAAAATTGATTTTCCTCATAGTGGTCAGAACCATGTGTTAAGAATATAAATCAGATCCTGTTGCTTTTCTGCCTGAAACCATGGGCTTCCTTTCCTACTTAGAGTAAAACTCATTATCCTTAGCTTCACCTACCAGAGCTGGTCCCTGACCACCCTCTGTGATCGCATCTCTCCTATTACAATATTCCAGATACACTGCCTTCTTTTTGTCCTGGAACATGCCAAGTTCCTCTCATGTTAGGGCCTTCACACTTGCCATTCCCTCCTCCAGAAAAGCTCTTCCCCTAGAAGATTTGAGCAAGATTGGCTTCTTTCTGTCATCGAGTTCTCAGCTTCAGTGTTACCTTCTCACTGAGGTCTTCAGTGAGGACCCACTCTTATCCTGTTATATTTTCTTTTTAGCACTTAACAGTATCTGAACTTATTTGCTTGTTTACTATCTGTGTTCCTCTGCTAGAATATAAGCTCCATCTGGTAGAAACTTTGTCTATCTTGATGTGCAGCCAGTACCTAGAGGAAGTACTCAATAAATATTTCTTGAAATAATGGATTAACAATTTATACCCAGACCAACAATTTTTATAGGATGGAGTATTCCTATCACTTGAGTGGATTTCCAGAGAGTTGGAAGAAGTCACTCTCTCATAATCAGAAAGAAGAGTTTTTCTTAAATTCTCATTTCTCAAATGATTAAAAGATTGTCTGTCTGTCTTTGAATCAGGGTGTCTGAAGCAACAGAACATATGAGTCTACAAATATGGCATTTTATTTTAAAAAATAGCTATGTATTTGCTCAATTCAAATTACCTCCCCAAATATGATGTCCATAACTTTCTACCTCTATGATCTGTCCAGTTTTACTTGACATAAAGAATGAGGAGCAACTTGGCAGTGTGGCAGACCTGCTTTAAGGTTGTAATTGATTCCAAGCTGAATGCTCACGTCTTGGCATTTTAAACAATGTTCATATACACTTCCTTTATACAACTTGTTCAAGTATCTAATTTCTAAATCCCACACCACATGGAAAGCCAGTTTCATACAATATTTAAAGAAAAACATCTTTGCCAGATTCCAGGAGCCAGGGGAAGCAGATAACATAAGAAATAATCTCTTTGCTATAGAAGTAAGTTGTCAACATATTCCACTTCCCTATTCCTTCACCCTCACTAAAACTGCCATCCTCAGCAGGAGTATTTGCTGTTCTTGACTTTTAAAAAATAAGAAACTATCACTAGATTAAAGATCAGAGACTGATTGTGATAGTTCAGAAATAAAGGATAGAATAAGCAATGTCTGGGTACATTTTAGCTCTTGGCTGTCAGCTTCTCATGCAGCTGAATTTAAGGGTTTAATAACTATGTTGAGGCATTGCAGAGGATTCCCACTACCCAGCCAGGGGTGCTTTTACTCTCATCCATTTATATCCACTTTACAGAGCCAAAGAGAAATTTGAGGAAGAGTAAACACAAAGCTTTTTGTTTGTTTGTTTGTTTGTTCATTTTGAAATGGAGTCTCCCTCTGTAGTCCAGGCAGGAGTGCAGTGGTGCAATCTCGGCTCACTGCAACCTCTGCCTCCTGAGTTCAAGTGATTCTCCTGCCTCAGCCTCCCAAGTAGCTGGGATTACAGGCACACACTACCATGCCCGGCTAATTTTTGTATTTTTAGTAGAAACAGGGTTTCACCATGTTGGTCAGGCTGGTCTTGAACTCCTGACCCTGTGATCCGCCCACCTCAGCCTCCCAAAGTGCTGGGATTACAGGTGTGAGCCACTGTGCCTGGCCTAAGCTTTATCTCCTACGTGTCTTTCTACTAGCATCTCACCAGCAACATCTGCTATGGTTCCCCGTAATTGTCCATTTTAGATGAAGGAGAGGGAAAAGGAAAGAGGGGGCTTATATTCAGAGGCTGCTGCTGCTACAAAGATATAAACTTAGCTTTATTTCAATGTATGTATATTTTAAAGGACATTAGCATGACCTAAATATTATGTGTATTATTAAATTACACATAATATTAATAAATATTAATATCAATAAATGAGGAAAAGAGGTAAAACTGGAGAAATAGAATTTTCTTTCTTTTCCCACATGATTGTGGTTACAAAATTTGTTCAGGGTCTGTTCTTTCACTTAAACTTTATTGTTAGCACTTACACAGGTTGACAGTTTGTGCTATAAATGCATTTTTATTGATGGTGAGTTAGTTTTCTAGGGTTGCCATAACGAAATACCACAGACTGAGTGAAACAAAAGAAATTTGTTTTCTCACACTTCTGCAAGCTGGAAGCCTCAGATCAAGGTGGTGGCAAGTTTGGTTTTATCTGAGGCCTTTTTCCTTGGCTTGCAGATGGCTATTGTCTTACTGTGTCTTCAGATGGCCTTTCTTCTGTGAATACAAATCCCTAATGTCTCTTTGGGCATCCAAATTTATTCTTCTTCTCCTTCTCCTTCTTCTTCTCCTTCTCCTCCTCCTTCTTCTACTTTCTTCTTTTGTTCCCTTTTTTCTTTTTTTTTTTTTTTTTGAGACAGAGTCTTGCTCTGTCACCCAGACCGGACCGTAGTGCAGTGGTGCGATCTCGGCTCACTGCAACCTCCACCTCCTGGGTTCAAGTGATTCTCATGCCTCAGCACCCCCAAGTAGCTGGAATTATAGGTGCATGCCTCCACCCCTGGCTAATTTTTGCTATTATTATTATTATTATTATAGAGATGGGGTTTCGCCATGTTGGCCAGGCTGGTCTTGAACTCCTGGCCTCAAGTGATCCGCCTTCCTTGTCCTCCTACAGTGCTGGCATTACAAATGTGAGCCACTGCACCCAGCTCCCCAAATTTCCTGTTCTTACAAGGCCAACACTCAATTTGAATTAGGACTCACACTAATGGCCTCACTATCATCACCTCTTTAAAGGGCCTAACTCTAAATACAGTTATACTCTAAGATCCTCAGGGTTAGAGATTCAACACAAGAATTTGTGGAGTAGGGGACACAATTCAGCCTGTAATAGATGGTAGGCTTATACTACAACATCAGGCTTGCACTGGGTACAAACCATATTCCTGCTTCTACCTCAATGCTTCTTTTCTTCCATTTCTTGGCACATATTCAAAGTTGACTGACATAATTCTTATTGTTGAAGCAAGTGATGAAGCTGCCTAGTGATAATAACTAATTTTCTGGAACTCTTTTGGAATGTATAGATACTGGTTAGGAATCACCTAGTAACAGGTATATTGACATGAAGCCAAAGTCTGTGTAGATAGTATAAAATTCTGGGGAAACACCAGCACATGCTGGAGTAATGGAGAAGAAAAAAAGGTACAAGGAAAGTATGATCCTTGTCTTAGTCTATTTGTTATGCGCTATAACAAAATATCTGACACTGGGTAATTTGGAAAGAACAGAAATTTATTTCTCACAATTCTGGAACCTGGGAAGCCAAAGATCATGGTGCCAGCAGATTTGGTGTTTAGTGAGCAGACACCTTCTAAAAGCCCCACGTCTTAATACTGTTGCACTGGGAATTAAGTTTCAACATGAAATTTGAAGGAGACACAAATAGTCAAACCACAGCAATCCTAAACCAAGAGGAGCTAATACAAGGGAATGTTTGAAGTAAGAAGAGTAAGAGAGGGTCTGATGAAGTTTCCAAAGCAAAGCATAGACAATTAAATATAGTTTTGTTTTTTTTTTTTTTACAGTTTTCATGACAACCAGCATGGTGAGCCTAGAGCATTTCAGAGGCAGAAAAAGAGTGCATAGACATGAAAAAGAGGGGCCATATTGATAAGAAAAATAGTACAGAGGTAGAATCTATAGTACTTTGAAGATGCCTGAAAAACAGCGTAGAGAGAAATGTTATAATTGAAAATGACTGAGAAGATGGTGATTAAATACAGTAGGTAGTGTTGAAGAGTTGTGTTAGATAAATTGAGTTCAGTGTTCCTGCAAGATATCTAAGTGACCACATACAGGAGGAACTGGCAAATTCAAAACTAGAGTTTTTAGAAAAGTTAAGGCTACAGGTAAGGATTTGGCATTTGTCTGCATAGATGACCCAAACCAAAAGAGCTAGTGAAGATATTGAGAGAGCATGAAGGAGAAATGAAGAGAGTTAAGCCTATAGTTGATAATTGAAGGTCTTCTCTATGAGGCTATAACACTCCAATACTACGTTGTTGTCAGTGTAAACAAGGGCGTAGCCCAAAACACTGAGACCACTGACAACCCATAGCCTTCCTATCAAAAATCCTTAACCCAGTAAGCCACAAATGCATTCAATCGGTAGTGGCAACTGCTTTGCTAACAGAAGAAAGTAGAAAAAATAACCTTTAGAGGAAACCTCATTGAGAGCACACCTCACCAGTTCAGAGCTATCCTAAGTCAAAAAAAGCAAAAAGGTAGCTTACTAACTCAAAAATCTTAAAGTATGGGGCTATTCTGTTAGAAAAAGGTAATTTAACATTAACCACTGAAAATTCTCTTAACCCAGCAGGTTTCCTAATGAGGGATTTAAATCTTAATTACCATGCAAAGGTCCGACCAGACCTAGGAAGAACTCCCTTCGGGACAGGAGATAGATGGTTCCTCCCAGGTGACTGAGGAAAAAAAACCACAATTGGGTATCCAGTAATTGATAGGGAAACTCTTGTAAAAGCAGAGTTAGGAAAATTGCCTAATAATTGGTCTGCTCAAACATGCGAGCTGTTTGCACTCAGCCAAGCCTTAAAGTACTTATAGAATCAAAAAACTCTATCTCAGTACTGACTCAAAAGGTTACTTACACACCTCTCTGAAGTGAATTTGCATAAGAACTGTTATTTACGGGAATGCATCTTGATGGGGCACCTGGGATGTTATGAAATACTCAGGAACCCAGCCCAGTTCTAAGACTCACCCCTGAGCACAAAGGCAATGTTGGGCATGCTGGTAAAGGACTACTAGAATCCACCAGCCTGGACCCCTTTCTTTGTGGTCAAGAAAGGCAGGAAAAGAGGTGCAGGACTGCTACATCAGTGAGTGTAACTAATCCAATAAGCAGAGGTCCATGGGTGGTTACGCATCCTGAAAAGGAATAAACATTAGGACCACAGAGGACACTCTAGGACTAATGCTCATTGGAAAATGACTAGCGGTGCTGGCATCCCTATGTTCTTTTTTTCAGATGGGAAACATTTCCCCCAAGGCAAAAACACCCCTAAGATGTATTCTGGAGAATTGGGACCAATTTGACCCTCAGACACTAAGAAATAAGCAACTTAGCTAGGCAAAGTGGCTCACACCTGTAATCCCAGCACTTTGGGAGGCTGAAGTGGGCGGATCACCTGAGGTCAGGAGTTTGAGACCAGACTGACCAACATGGTGAAACCCTGTCTCTACTAAAAATACAAAATTAGCCGGGCATGGTGGTGCATGCCTGTAATCCCAGCTACTCGGGGGACTGAGGCAGGAGAATTGCTTGAACCCGGGAGGTGGAGGTTGCAGTGAGCTGAGAACACACCATTGCACTCCAGCCTGGGCAACAAGAGTGAAACTCCATCTAAAAATAAAAATAAAAATAAAAAAATAAGCGACTTATGTTCTTCTGCAGTTACTGCCTGGCCACTATATCCTCTTCAAGGGGGAGAAACCTGGCCCCCTGAGTGAAGTAAAAATTATAACACCATCTTACAGCTAGACTCTTTTGTAGAAATGAGGGCAAATGGAGTGAAGTGCCATATGTGCAAACTTTCTTTTCATTAAGAGACAACTCGCAATTATGTAAAAAGTGTAATTTATGCTCTACAGGAAGCCCTCAGAGTCTACCTCCCTGCCCCTTCCCCAATTAATAAGACCCCCCTTCAACATAAATGGCCCAAAAAGAGATATACAAAGGGGTAAACAATGAACCCAAGAGTGCCAAAATTCCCTGATTATGCCCCTTCCAAACTGTGGGAGGAGGAGAATTCGGCCCAATCAGAGTGCATGTACCTTTTTCCCTCTCAGACTTGAAGCAAATTAAAATAGACCTAGGTAAATTCTCAGATAACCCTGATGGCTATATTGATGTATATTGATCTGACATAGGGAGATATAATGTTATTGCTAGGTCAGACACTAACCCCAAATGAGAGATGTGCCACCATAACTGCAGCCCGAGAGTTTGGCGATCTCTGGTATCTCAGTCAGGCCAACGATAGGATGACAACAGAGGAAAGAGAACAATTCCCCACAGGCCAGCAGGCAGTTCCAGTGTAGACCCTCACTGGGACACAGAATCAGAACATGGAGATTGGTGCCTCAGACATTTGCTAACTTGCGTGCTAGAAGAACTAAAGAAAACTGGGAAGAAGCCTATGAATTAGTCAATGATGTGCACTATAACACAAGGAAAGGAAGAAAATCCTACTGCCTTTCTGGAGAGACTAAGGGAGGCATTGAGGAAGCATTCCTCCGTGCCACCTGACTCTATTGAAGGCCAACTAATCTTAAAGGATAAATTATTCACTCACTCAGCTGTAGACATTAGGAAAAACACTTCAAAAGTCCACCTTAGGCCCAGAGCAAAACTTAGAAACCCTACTGAATTTGGCAACCTCGGTTTTTCATAATAGAGATCAGAAGGAGCAGGCAGAATGGGACAAATGGAATAAAAAGAAGGCTACTGCTTTAGTCATGGCCCTCAGGCAAGCTGACTTTGGAGGCTCTGGAACAGGGAAAGGCTGGGCAAATCGAATGCCTAATAGGGCTTGCTTCCAGTGCGGTCTACAAGGACACTTTAAAAAAGATTGTCCGAATAGAAATAAGCCAACCCCTTGTCCATGCCCCTTATGTCAAGGGAATCACTGGAAGGCCCACTGCCCCAGGGGATGAAGGTCCTGAGTCAGAAGCCATTAACCAGATGATCCAGCAACAGGACTGATGGTGCCCGGGGCAAGCGCCAGCCCATGCCATCACCCTCACAGAGCCCCGGGTGGGCTTGACCATTGAGGGTCAGGGGGTTAACTGTCTCCTGGACACTGGTGCAGCCTTCTCAGTCTTACTCTCCTGTCCCGGAGAACTGTCCTCCAGATCTGTCACTATCCGAGGGGTCCTAGGACAGGCAGTCACTAGATACTTCTCCCAGCCACTAAGTTGTGACTGGGGAACTTTACTCTTTTCACATGCCTTTCTAATTATGCCTGAAAGCCCCACTCCTTTGTTAGGGAGAGGCATTCTAGCAAAAGCAGGGGCCATTATACACTAGAATTAGGAGAAAGAAAAAGGGTAAATATATATACAGACTTTAAGTATGCTTACCTAGTCCTCCATGCCCACACAGCAATATGGAGAGAGAGAATTCCTAACTTCTGAGGGAACACCTATCAAACATCAGGAAGCCACTGGAGATTATTATTGGCTGCACAGAAACCTAAAGAGGTGGCAGCCTTACACTGCCGGGGTTGTCAGAAAGGAAAGGAAAGAGAAATAGAAGGGAATCGTCAAGCGGATATTGAAGCCAAAAGAGCCACCAGGTGGGACCCTCCATTAGAAATGCTTATAGAAGGGCCCCTAGTATGGGGTAATGCCCTCCAGGAAACCAAGCCCCAGTACTCAGCAGAAGAAATAGAATGGGGAACCTCATGAGGACATAGTTTTCTCCCCTCAGGATGGCTAGCCACCGAAGAAGGAAAAATAATTTTGCCTGCAGCTAGCCAATGGAAATGCCTTAAACCCCTTCACCAGACCTTTCACTTTGGCATTGATAGCACCCATCAGATGGCCAAATCATTATTTACTGGATCAGGCCTTTTCAAAACTATCAAGCAGATAGTCAGGGCCTGTGAAGGGTGCCAAAGAAATAATCCTCTGCCTTATCGCCAGGCTCCTTCAGGAGAACAAAGAACAGGCCATTACCTAGGAGAAGACTGACAACTAGATTTTACCCACATGCCCAAATCTCAGGGATTTAAGTATCTACTAGTCTGGGTAGATACTTTCACTGGTTGGGCAGAGGCCTTCCCTTGTAGGACAGAAAAGTCCCAAGAGGTAATAAAGGTGCTAATTCATGAAATAATTCCTAGATTTGGACTTCCCCGAGGCTTACAGAGTGACAATGGCCCTGCTTTCAAGGCTGCAGTAACCCAGGGAGTATCCCAGGCCTTAGGCATACAATATCACTTACACTGCGCCTGGAGGCCACAATCCTCAGGAAAAGTCAAGAAAATGAATGAAACACTCAAACGACATCTAAAAAAGCTAATCCAAGAAACCCACCTTGCATGGCCTGCTCTGTTGCCTATAGCCTTACTAAGAATCCAAAACTCTCCCCAGAAAGCAGGACTTAGTCCATATGAGATGCTATATGGACAGCCCTTCCTAACCAATGACCTTGTGCTTGACCGAGAGATGGCCAACTTAGTTGCAGACATCACCTCCTTAGCCAAATACCAACAAGTTCTTAAAACACTACAGGCAACCTCTCCCTGAGAGGAGGGAAAGGAATTATTCCACCCTGGTGACATGGTATTAGTCAAGTCCCTTCCCTCTAATTCCCCATCCCTAGACACATCCTGGGAAGGACGCTACCCAGTCATTTTATCTACCCCCATCGCTGTTAAAGTGGCTGGAGTTGAGTCTTGGATACATCACACTCAAGTCAAACCCTGGATACTGCCAAAGGAACCCGAAAATCCGGGAGACTACACTAGCTATTCCTGTGAACCTCTAGAGGATCTGCGCCTGCTCTTCAAGTGACAACCGTGAGGAAAGTAACTAGAATCATACATCCCCATGGCCCTCCCTTGTCATATTTTTCTCTTTACTGTTCTCTTACCCCCTTTCACTCTCACTGCACCTCCTCCATGCCTCTGTACTACCAGTAGCTCCCCTTAGCAAGAGCTTCTATGGAGAATGCAGCTTCCTGGAAATGTTGATGCCCCATCGTATAGGAGTTTTTCTAAAGGAAACCCCACTTTCACCGCCCACACCCATATGCCCCTGCACTTCAGGCCATACATGTCAATCCCTGTATCTTTAACCTGCTTGTTAAGTTTGTCTCTTCCAGAACCAAAGCTGTAAAACTACAAATCATTCTTCAAATGGAGCCCCAGATGCAGATCATGTCTAAGATCTACCGCGGACCCCTGGACTAGCCTGCTAGCCCATGCCCTGATGTTAATGACATTGAAGTCACCCCTCCTGAGGAAATCTCAACTGCATGACCCCTACTACACCCCAATTCAGCAGGAAGCAGTTAACAGTGGTCGTTGGCTGACCTCCCCAACAGCACTTGGGTTTTCCTGTTGAGAGGGGGCACTGAGAGACAGGACTAGCTGGATTTCCTAGGACTAAGAATTCCTAAGCCTAGCTGGGGAAGGTGACTGCAACCATCTTTAAACACAAGGCTTGTATCTCAGCTCACACCTGACCAATCAGGTAATAAAGAGGTCTCACTAAAATACAAATTAGGCTAAAAGCAGGAGGTAAAGAAATAGTCAAATTACGTCTCATCTGAGAGCACAAGGGAGGGATAATGATTGTGATATAAACCCCCAGGCATTCGAGCCGGGAGTGGACAACCCCTTTTGGGTCCCCTCCCATTGTATGGGAGCTCTGTTTTCACTCTATTAAATCTTGCAACTGCACACTCTTCTGGTCCATATTTGTTACGGCTCGAGCTGAGCTTTAGCTCACTGTCCACCACTGCTGTTTGCCGCCATCGTAGACCCGCCACTGACTTCCACCCCTCCGGATCCATCAGGGTGTCCACTGAGCTTCTGATCAAGTGAGGCACCCATTGCTGCTCCTGATCGGGCTAAAGGCTCACCATTGTTCCTGCACGGCTAAGTGCCCGGGTTCATCTTAATTGAGCTGAACACTAGTCGCTTGGTTCCACAGTTCTCTTCCATGACCCCTGGCTTCTAAGAGAGCTATAACACTAACCGCCTGGCCCAGGGTTCCATTCCTTGGAATCTGCGAGGCCAAAAAACCCAGGTCGGAGAATAAAAGGCTTGCCACCATCTTGGGAGTGGCCTGCTGCATCTTGGGAGCTGCCCACCACCATCTTGGGAGCTCTAAGTACAAAGACCCACCCGTAACAGTAACATCCTTCTCCCATCCCTGGCCCCTGACAGCCACTGATCTGTTCTCTGTTGTTACAGTTTTGTCTTTTCAAGAATGACTTATAAGTGGACTCATAGGATTTGTAAACTTTCACTGAGCATAATGCCTTTGAGAGTCATCCAAGTTGTTGTATATATGAATAGTTCATTCCTTCTTATTTCTGAGAAGTAGTTTGTGGTGTGAACATATCACAGTTTATCCATTCACTGGCTGAAGGACATTTGTGTTACTTCCAGCTTCTAAAAACTATTATTAGAGCTCCTGTAAACTTTATGTGCATAGGCTGTTGCATTTTTCTACCTAGGAGTGGATTTGCCAGATCATGTGGGAAGTTTAACTTTATGAGAAACTGCCAATCTGTTTTTCAGAGTGGCTTTACCGTATTTCATTCCTACTAGCAATTTTGAAGAGTTCCAGTTACTCTGCATCGTTACCAGTACTTGGTAGGTTTAGCCATTTTCATTTTTGGTAATCTAGTAGGTACACAGTAATTCTCGTGGTGGTTTGGAAGTGTTGAATTTATTTTCATGTGTGTATTTGCTTTCCATATAACTTTGATGATGTGTCTTTTCATGTATTTTGCTCATTTTTTTCCTGAGTTTTGAGGGATCTTATATATTTTGGATACAAATCCTTTATAAAATATCGATTGAAAATATTTTCTTTCAGCCTCTAACTTGTTTTTTAATCTCTGAACAATGTCTTCACAATATAGTTTTTATTTTTGATGAAGCCTAATTTATTATTTTTTTCTTTCATTGACTATGCTTTTGATGTGTTCTCCAGGAACTCTTTGCTTAAATCCAAGATTAAAAACTTTTTCCCAACTGTACTTATAAAAAAACTTATTGTATTTTTTAGATGTATAATCTATTTTAAATTAATTACTGCAAAGAGTGTGAGGTTTATGTCAAGGTTTATTTTTTTTGCATGTGGTTGTCCAATTGCTCCAGTATGATTTGTTGAAAAGATTACACTCTCTCCACTGAATTGCTGTTACATCTTTGTCAAAAATTAATTGCCCACATTTGTGTGGATGCATTTCTGAACTATTTATTCAGTTCCATTGATTTATGGGTCTATCTCTTTGACAATACCACACAGTCCTTATTGTTGTAGTTTTATAGTAAGTCTTAAAATCAAGTACTATGATTCTTCTTTCTTCTTTTTCACAATTGTTTTGGTTATTCTACTTCTTTGACCTTTACATATGTTTCTATCTCAAAAAATCCTATTGTGATTTTTATTGGAATTATGTTAACTCTATAATAAATTTGGGGAGAATTGATCACCATTAAATGTGCTAATCCATGAATGTGGCATTTCTCCTTGTTTATTTAGGTCCTATTTTATTTTATTCATCAGCATTTGCAGTTTTAGCATGCAGATCCTGTACATTTTTTGGTTATCTTTATACTCAAGTATTTGAAGTTTTGAATTGTTGAAAAAGGCTTTTTTATATCAGTTTTCAAATGTTTATTGTTAACATATACAAATATGGTTGATTTTTGTGTGTTGATCTCATATGCTGCTTTTCACCACCAAACATATTTTACAGAACTCAAGAAGTGAACATTCTCTTATGTTTATACATATATTTACCATTTCTCTTGCTTGGCCTTTGTTCCTGATATTAAATGTTTCCTACTGCTATCATTTTTCTTTTGTTTGACAAGCTTACTTTACCAATTACTTTAGAGTAGTTCTTCTAACAACAAAGTCTCTTAGTGTTCCTTCATCTGAGAATGCCTTTATTTTACCTTCATTCTTGCAGGATATTTTTACAGGATATAGAATTTTAGGTTGATAATTTTTTTTTCAGTACTCAAAAAATGTTGTGCTACTTCTGTCTCTCTTTCATAGTTTCTGATTTGGTTACTGGAATCACTGTTCCTCTGAATATACTATGGTTTTTCTGTATAAGATTTCAAAATTTTTTTCTTTTTCTTTAGTTTTCAGCAATTTAATTATATGTTGGGGTATATATTTTCTTGAGTTTATCTTGTTTGCATTCACTGAGTAACTATCTTGAATCTATAGGTTTCTGTCTTTTTTATTTTTTCAATTGTGCTTCTCTCTGTTCTGATTGTATTATTTTCATTTTTATTGCTTCAAGCTTATAGGGCCTCTGGCATCTCCATTTTGCTATGGATCTTATCTTGTGCTTCTTTCTTTCAGGTTATTACATTTTTTCATTCTAAAATTTCTATTTTGTTCATCTTTGTAACTTCAATTTTTTGCTAAGACTTTCTATCTTTCAATTCTTTTTAAGACAGTTCTCCCATTAGTTTTCAGAGTGTTTGTATCATACCTACTTTAAAGGTTTTGTCAGATAATTCTAGCATCTATGTCATTTCAGCATTGACATTGGTTGTTTTTCTTTTATTGTGCAGTTTGAGATTTTCCTAGATATTTACATGATAAGTACTTTTGAATTATATCTTAAATGTTTGAGTACTAAACTATAAAACTCTGGGTCTTATTTAAATCCTGTAGAGAATGGTTGCTTCCCTCATTTCTTATTAATACATAATAATTGTACATATTTATGGAGTACACATAATATTCTGATACATACATACATACAAGGTGTAATGATCAGATCAGGATATTTAGGATATCTGTCACCTCAAATACTTATCATTTCTTTATGTTGTGAACATTTCAAATCTTCTCTTTTAGATATTAAAAAATTATTTTTAACTATAATCACCCTACTATACTATTAAATACTAGAAACTACTCCTATCTATGTGTACGTTTATACCCATTAAGCAACCTCTCTTCATCTCTTTACTCCCTGCCCTTTGCAGCCTCTGATAACCACCATTTTACTCTCTATTTCCATGAGATCAACTTTTTAAACTCTCATGTATGAATGGAAGCATGTAATATTTGTCTTTATGTACCCAACTTTTATCAGTTTAACATAATGACCTCCAGTTCCACCCAGGTTGCTACAAATAAGAGGATTTTATTTCTTTATGGGAGAATTGTATTCCATTGTGTGTGTGTGTGTGTGTGTGTGTGTGTACACTTATATGTAGAAACACAATACCGAAAATTTGGCATAGATAGATAGATAGATAGATAGATAGATAGATAGATACGCAAACACACATATACATGTATGCCCAATTTTCTTTATTTTTCATCCATTGATTAAGTTGATTCTATATTTTGGCTATTGTGAATGATGCTGCAGTAAACTTTGGAGTGCTTACCTTTCAAAAAATACCTAGAAGTGGGATTGCTGGGTTGTATGGTAGTCCTATTTTTAGTTTTTTGAGAAACCTCCATACTGTACATGGCTAAACTAATATACATTCCCACCAACAGCATATATGAATTTCCTTTTCTCCACATTCCTGCTAACATCTGTTATTTTTCTCTTTTTTTTTATACCAGCCATTCTAAATGAGATGAGATGATATCTCATTGTGGTTTTGATTTACATTTCCCTGGTGATGAGTATTGTTTACCATTTTTTCACATGACTGTTGGCCATTTGGATGTCTTCTTTTGAGAAATGTCTATTTAGATACTTTGTCCAATTTTTAATGGGATTATTGGTTTTTTTTTTTTGCTGTCAAGTAGTTTGAGTTCCTTGTATATTCTGGATATTAGTCCCTTGTTGAATGAATAGTTTGCAAATATTTTCTCCTTTTCTACAGATTATTCCTTCACTGTGTTGTTTCCTTTGCTGTTAGCTTTTTTTGTGTCATATCATCTCATTTGTCTAGTTTTGTCAGTGTTGTTGTCTATGCTTTTGAAATCACAGCTGTAAAATCTTTGCCTACACCAATGTCCTAAAGCATTTTCTCTATGTTTTCTTGTAGTAGATTTGCAGTTTCCAGTCATATGTTTAAGTCTTTGGACTATTTTGAGTTGACTTATTTAATATGGTGAAAGATAGAGGTTCAGTTTTATTCTTTTGCATATGGATATACAGCTTTCCCAGCACTATTTATTAAAGAGGGTATTCTTTCCCCATTGTATGTTCTTGGAACCTTTGTTGAAAATCAGTAGGCTGAAAATCAGAGGCAGAGCAAGACAGCAGAATAGAAGGCTTCACCAATCGTCCCCCTACAAGGACAGCAATTTAATTACTATCTACACACACACACACACAAAGCACCTTCATAAGGACTAAAAATCAGGTGAGCACTCACAGTACCTGATTTTAACTTCATATCACTGAAACAGAAATAAAGAGGTAGAAAAAAAACAGTCATGAATCACTGATGCAACCTCCTCCCCAATCCCCCAGCATTGGCAGCATGGTGCAGAGAGTGTTTCTGAGCACTGAGGGAAGGAGAGCACAGCAATCATGAAGCGATTGAACTCAGTGCTGTCTGGTCATAGCAGAAAGAAAAAACAGACAAAATTCAGCTAACACACACCCACAGAGGGAGCATTTAAACCGGCACTAGCCAGAGGGAAATTGCCAATAGAGGTGATGAGAACTTGAGTCCTTGCAAGTCTTGGCACTGTGGGCTAAAGTGCTCTGGAACTCTAAATAAACTTGAAAGGTGGTCTAGGTCACAGGACTGCAATTTTTAGGTGAGTTCTCGTATTGAACTGGGTTCATAGCTAGCACACAGGGGTTGACAGTGGGAGGGCATGTGACCTGCTGACACATCAACTGGGCACTTAAGGAAGTGCTGGCATCACTCCTCCCCTAACCCCAGGCCACACTGCTTGCAGCTCCAAAAGAGACACCTCCTTCTGCCTGAGGAGAGGAGGGGAAAAACTGGAGAAGACTTTGTCTTGCATCTGGGATACCAGCTTAGACACAATAAGATAGGAAATGGGTCAGAGTCATGAGGCTCCCTTTCCAGGCCTCAGCCACCAGACAACAAATCTAGATACACCCTGGGCCAGAAAGGAACCTGCAGCCTTAAAGGGAATGAAACATAGTGCCGGCACCATTCATCACCTGCTAACTTAAAAGCCTTTGGGCCCTGAATAACCAGCAGCAATACCCAAGTTCTACATTGAGGGCTTTGGGTGAGACTCTGAGACCTCCTCACTTCAGTTGAGATTCAGCACATTCCCCAGCTGTGGTGACTGTGGAGCAAGAATCCTTCTATTTGAGAAAAGTAAAGGAGACATTGTCCTGCACCTAGGTATCAGCTTGACCACAGGAGAGTAGAGCACCAAGTGGGCTCTTAGGGTCCCCAATTTCAGGCCTTGGCTCTGGGACAGCATTTCTGGACCTGCCTGGGGCTAGAGGGGAGTCCAAGGCCTTAAAGGGTGAGTCCCCAGGCAGGCCATATTCTCCACAAGCTGAATGAAGAGACCTTGGGCCTTAAGGGAACAATGGCAATAGTCTGGCAGTACCCCCATGGGCCTGTGATGGCAGTGGCCAAGGACTGACTCCTCTGCCTTTGGAAAGTGGAGAAAAGAATGGGAAGGACTGCATCTTGTAGTTTTAGTGCCAGCACAGCTACAGTACAACAGAACACCAGGTAGACTTCTAAGGATTTTAAGCGTAGTCCCTGGCTCCTGAACAGCACCTTTGGATATGCCCATGGCCTAAGGGAACTCACCAAACCCAAAGGGAAAGATCGGCCTGGATAGCTTTGCCACATCGTGATTGTAGAGCCTCCAGGGCCTTGAGCAACCTTAAGTAGTAGCCAGGGAGTGGTTACAGCAGGTCTTGGGTAAAACTCAGTGCTCTGTATGTCTCAGATCTCATCCAGCTCAGTCATACTGGTGGTGGCAACAGAAGTACTTATATCACTCCATTCCCAGGTTCAGGTGACTCAGAACAGAGGCAGAGACTTTATTTGTCTGAGAGAAAGTAAGAGAAGAGAATGAGAGTCTCTGCCTGGGAATCCAGAGAATTCTCCCAGATCTTGTCCAAGACCATCAAGGTGGTACCTCTATGAGTCTGCAAAAACCACAGAGTAATTGGGATTGGGGTGCCCCGTAAAGTTGATACAGCTTAGATCTCAACACCCACATTCTTCACATAACTTCTCAAGAAAGACAGGTACACACAAACCCAGACTGTGAAGACTATAATAAATACCTAACTCTTCAATGCCCAGACATAAGCAAACATCCCTAAGTATCAAGACAATCCAGGAAAACATGATCTCACCAAACAAACTTAATAAGGCACCAGAGACCAATCCTGGAGAAATAGAGATATGTGACATTTCAGACAGAAAATTCAAAATAGCTGTTTTGAGGAAACTCAAAGAAATTCAAGATAACACACAGAAGAAATTCAGAATTCTATCAGATAAATTTAACAAACAAATTGAAATAATAAAATAATCAAGCAGAAATTCTAGAGTTGAAAAATGTAATTGACACACTGAAGAATGCATTGGGGTCTTTTAATAGCAGAATTCATCAAGCAGAAGAAAGAAGAAGAAAGCCTATCACAAGGCATTTAATAATCGGACTCCCAAAGATAAAGGATAAAGAAAGGCTCCTAAAATCAGCAAGAGAAAAGGAAGAAGTAACATACAATGGAGCTCCAATGTGTCTGGCAGCAGACTTTTCAGTGGAAGCCTTATAGGATAGGAGAGAGTGGCATGACATATTTTAAGTGCTGAAGAAAAACAACTTTTACTCCAGAATAGCATAACTGGCAAAAATATCCTTCAAAAATGAAGGAGAAATAAATACTTTCCCAGGCAAACAAAAGCTGAGGAATTTCATCAACATCAGAACTGTCAGACAAGACATGCCAAAAGGAGTATTTCAATCCAAAGTATGTTAATGAGCAATATGTAATCACCTGAAGGTACAAAACTCACTGGTAATGGTAAGTACACAGAAAAACACAGGATATAATAACACTATAACTGTGGTGTGTAAACTATCTTATCCTATGTAGAATGATTAAAGGGTGAATCAATAAAAAATAATAACTATGACAACTTTTGAAAACATAGAGAATACAATAAAAAATAAATGGAAACAACAAAAAGTTCAAAAGGGGATATGAAGTTAAAGTGAGTTTTTATTAGGTTTTTTTTTTTTGCTTTTTTGTTTATGCAAACAGTGTTAAGTTGTTATCATAGTTTTATCGTATGTTTTAACATAGTATTTGCAAGCCTCCTGGTGTATTCAAAACAAGATCATACAACAGATACATAAAAAATATAAAGGAAGAAACTAAATCATATGACCAGAGAAAATTATCTTCACTAAAGGAAAAACAGAAAGTAAAGAAAGAAGGAAGAGAAGACAACAAAATAATCAGAAAACAAATAACAAAATGGCAGGAGTAAGTCCTTACTTATCAATAACATTGAATGCAAATGGACTAAACTTTCTAATCAAAAGATATAGAGTGGCCGAATGGATTTTTAAAAAAGCAAGACCCATTGATTTGCCTACAAGAAACACACTTCACCTATAGATACACATAAACTGAAAATCAAGGAGTAGAAAAAGATATTCCATGCCAATGGAAACCAAAAAGAGCAGGAATAGCTATACTTATATCAGACAAAATAGGTTTGAGACAAAAGCTATAAGGAAGAGATGAAGATGATCACTATATAATGATAAAGAGATCAATTAAGCAAGACGATACAACAATTGTAAATATATGTGCACCCAACACTGCATCACCCAGATGTATAAAGCAAATATTATTAGAACTAAAGAGAAAGATAAATTCCAATACAATAATAGCTGGAGACTTAAACGCCCTACTATCAGCATTGGACAGATCTTCCAGACAGAAAATCAAAAAAGAAATATTGGGTTTAATCTGCACTGTAGACCAAATGGATCTAACAGATAGTTACAAAACATTTTATCCAGTGGTTGCAAAATGTACATTTTTTTTCTCAGCACATGGATTATTCTCAAGGGTAGAGCATATGTTAGGTCACCAAACAAGTCTGAAAACATTCAAAATATTTACTATCAGTAGCATTTTTATATGCCAGCAGTGAACAATCTGAAAAGAAGTCAAGAAAGTAATCACACTTACAATAGCTACAAGTAAAATTAAATAACTAGGAATTAACTTAACCAAAGAAGTGGAAGACTTGTGTAATAAAAACTATAAAACACTGATCAAAGGAATTGAAGAGGACTCCAAAAAATGAAAAAATATTCCATGTTCATGGATTGGAAAAATCATTATTGTGACAATGTTCATATTACCTGAACCAATCTACAGATTCAATGCAATTTCTATCAAATTCCAACGACATCCTTTACAGAAATAGAAAAAAACTATCCTAAAATGTATGTGGAACAAAAAAAGACCCAAAATAGCCAAAGCTATCCTAAGCAAAAAGAACAAAACTGGAGGAATCATATTACCTGTCTTCAAACTATACTACAGAGCTCTAGTAACCAAAACAGCACATTACTGGCATAAAAACAGACACATAAATCACTGGAACAGCATAGAGAACCCAGAAACAAATCCACACACCTACAGTGAACTCATTTTCGACAAAGGTGCCAAGAACATACACTGGGGAAAAGACAGTCTCTTCAATAAATGGTGCTCAGAAAATTGGGTATTCATATGCAAAGGAATGAAATTTAGACCCATATCTTTCAACATATACAAAAATAAAATCAAAATGAATTAAAGCCTTAAATCTAAGACTTCAAACTATGAAACTACTACAAGAAAACATTACGGAAAATCCCCAGCACATTGGTCTGCGCAAATATTTCTTGAGTAATAGCCTACAAACACAGGCAACAAAAGCAAAAATGGATATAAGTTAAGAAGCTTCTGCACAGCAAAGGAAACTATCAAGAAAGTGAAGAGACAACCCATAGAATGAGGAAAAATATTTGCAAACTACCCACCTGACAAGAATATGTAAGGAGCTCAAACAACTCTATAGGAAAAAGTCTAATAATCTGATTAAAACTGGCCAAAAGATTTGAATAGACATTTCTCAAAAGAAGACATAAAAATGGCAAACAGGCATATGAAAAGGGGTTTATCAGAGAAATGGAATTTAAAACTACAATGAGATATTATCTCATTTCAGCTAAAATGGCTTATTTCCAAAAGACAGGCAATAACAAATGCTGATGAGGATGTGGAGAAAAGGGAACCTTTGTACACTATTGGTGGGAATGTAAATTAGTGCAACCACTATGGAGAACAGTTTGGAGGTGCCTCAGAAAACTAAACCTGGAGCAACCATATGATCCAGCAATCCCACTTCTGGATATATACACAAAAGACAGCAAATCAGTATATCAAAGAGCTATCTGCACTCCCATGTTTGTTGTAGCACTGTTTACAATAGCCAAGATTTGGAAGCAACCTAAGTGTCCATCACAGATGAATGAATAAAGAAAATGTGGTACATATACACAATGGAGAACTATTCAGCCATAAAAAAATGACACCCTGTCATTTGCAACAACATGGATGGAACAGAAGATCATTATGTTAAGTGAAGTAAGCCAGGCACAGAAATACAAACTTCACATGTTCTCACTTATCTGTGAGATCTGAAAATAAAAACAACTGGACTCATCAATACCGAGAGTAGAAATATGGATACCAGAGGAAGGGAGGGGTAGAGGGGATAAAGGGGGAGGTGGGGATGGTTAATGGACTAAAAAAGAATAGAAAGAATAAGACCTAGTATTTGCTAGCACAATAGGGTGATTGTAGTCAATAACAATTTAATAGTACATTTAAAAATAACTAAAAGAATATAATTGGATTGTTTGTAACAGAAAGGATAAATGTTTAAAATGATGGATAATCTATTCCCCAGATGGGCTTATTTCACATTACATGCCTGCATCAAAACACCTCATGTACCCCATAAATATATACACCTACTATGTACCCACAAAAATTAAAAATTTGTTTAGAAAAGGAAAATCAGTTGGCTGTAAATACAAAGATTTATTTCCGGGTTCTCTGTTCTGTTTCATTGGTCTATGTATCTGTTTTAATACCAATACCGTGCTGTTTTCATTATTCTAGACTTATAATATATTTTGAAGTCAGATAGTGTGATACCTGCAGCTTTGTTCTTTTTCCTCCATATTGCTTTGACTCTTCAGGGTCTTTTGCGGCTTCATAAAATTTTAGAATTTTGTTCTATTTCTGTGAAGAATGTCATTGATATTTTTATAGGGTTTGTATTGAATTTGTAGATTGCTTTGGGTAGAATGGTCATAATTTTTCCAACTCACGAGCATAGAGTAGCTTTTCATTTGTTACTGTCCTCTTCATCTACTTTCATCAGTTATTTGTAGTTTTCATCATGCTTTCCACCTCCTTGATTAAATTTATTCCTAGGTAGTTTATTTTTGTAGCTATTGTAAATTGCATTGTTTTCTCGATTTCATTAAGGTAGTTCATTCTTGATTTCATTCAGCTAGGTGGTTTTTTTTTGAAAAGATAAGCAAAATTAAAAAATCCTTAGCTAGAATATTTTTTAAAGGGGAGACTAAAATAAATAAAATAGAAAATAAAACAGGAGACATTGCAAATAATCCCACAGAAATAAAAAAACATCATAAAAAGTATCATGAACAATTATATACCAAAAATTAGACAAATGGGAAATGGACAAATTCCTAGAAACATACAGCCTACTAAGACTAAATCAAGAAAAAATAAAAATCCTGAACTGATCTATAACAAATAGAGAGACTGTATCAGTATTTATAAACCTTGCAAGAAAGGAAAGCCTAGGACAATATGGCTTCTCAGATGAATCCTATCAAACATTTAAAGAAATTTAATTCCAATCATCCTTAAGTAATTACAAAAATAGAAGAGAGAACTCTTTGAAACTCATTCTATGAGACCAACATCACTCTAATAGGAAAGCCAGACAAAGACACTGCAAGAAAAGAAAAGTATAGGTCAATATCACTGACTAAAGTGGATGTAAAAATCCACAACAAAATACTAGTAAGCCAAATTCAACAGCACATTCAAAGGATCATATACCATGATCAAGTAAGATTTGTCACTGTGATGCAAGGGGGTTCAACATAAGCAAATTAATCAATGTGATACACCACATTAACAGAATAAAGGATAAAAATTATATAATCATCTCAATAGATGTAGAAAAAATATTTGACAAAATTCAACACCTTTTCCTGATAAAAACACTTAATGTGTTGTGAGTAGAATAAAATTACATTGGCATAATAAAGGCAATACATGAAAAGTTCACAGCAAACCTCATATTCCACAGTGACAAACTGAAAGTTTTTCCTCCAAGATCCAAGAATGCCCACTTTCTCTACTTCTATTCAAAGTACTGCAAGTAATAGCCAGAGCAATTAGAGAAGAAAAAAAGAAAGGTATTCTAATCAGAAAGGAAGAAGTAAATTTATCTCTGTTTGCAGATGACATCATCTTATATATAAAAACCCCTCAAGATTACACACACACACACACAGACACACACATGCAAACCTGTTAGGACTAATAAAATAATTCTGTAAAGTGGTAAAGATACAAAGTCAACATACAAAATCAGTTGTGTTTCTATACATTAACAATGAGCAATCTGAAAAGGGAAATAAAACAATCCCATTTATGATAAACTCAAAAAACATTTTAAAATTTTGGAATAAACTTAACCAAGGAGGAAAAAACTTGTATGCTGAAAATTACAAAACATTGCTGAAATAAATTTGCAAAGATGACAAATAAATGGAAAGACATACCATGTTCATAAACCAGGTTCACTCTTAAGCACAGTAGAGTTCATACATATATGGTTTTCTTCTTCTTTTTTTCCAGCTTAGCATTTGATTCCAAAATATCTTTTTATTCATGTATCACACCCATGATTTTTTCTGTTTCTCCCTGATCCCTAGAAAGTTCTGAAAACCCTCTAAAATTGGAATTGAGGCCAGGTGCAGTGGCTCCTGCTTGTAATCCCAGGACTTTGGGAGGCTGAGGCAGGCACATCACTTGACCTCAGGAGTTCTAGGCTAGCCTAGGCAATGTGATAAAGCTCTATCTCTACCAAAAAAAACAAAAACAAACAAACAACAAAAAAAAAACAGCCAGGCCTGGTGGCATGTGCCTATAGTCCCAGCTACTGGAAGACTGAGTTGGGAGGATCACTTGAGCCTGAGAGGTCGAGACTGCAGTGAGCCATGTTCACACCACTGCACTCCAGCCTGGGTGACACAGGGAGACCCTGTCACAGAAAAAAAAAAGAAAAAAAAATGGAAATGATATTTATGAATGAGGGGTTGCAAACTACTGCTGTAGTTGGTTAAGAGGAATAACAAAAGTTACCCAATATTCTTTTTTTCATTACTCTGTATAATGGCTGTAATGGTTTCCATATGGGATATTGTAAAATCTAAATGTGGTTTCACCAGACAAAAGCCAAGGTTTTGTTTGTAAGGAAGATAAAGGGACTGTTGAAATGTTTGGGAATTTGGTGACATGAGAATATCCATTGACAGAAAGAGAAAAGCTGGTGTCAGGAGAAAGTTTCAAGGAGATACAGACCTGAGTAGAACGCACAAGAAAAGCTAGACTAAACTGGTTAGGATGAAAGGTGGGAAGAAGTAAACTTAGGGTTTTCTGTGGCATTTTAATTTCTATAGTTTCCTCCTCACAGGCCCCTTGATGACAGAATATGATATAGTTCGGCTGTGTCCCCACCTAAATCTAATCTTGAATTGTAGCTCTCATAATTCCCATGTGTTGTGGGAGGGACCCAGTGGGAGATAATTCAATCATGTGGGCAGTTTCCCTCATACTGTTCTCATGGTAGTAAATAAGTCTCACAAGATCTGACAGTTTTATAAGGGGAAACCCCTCTCACTTGGTTCTCATTTTCTCTTGTCTGCCACCATGTAAGATGTGCCTTTTGCTTTCTGCCATGATTGTGAGGCCTCCCCACCTACGTGGAACTGTGAGTCCACTAAACCTCTTTTTCTTTATAAATTACCCAATCTCAGGTGTGACTTTATCAGCAGCATGAGAACAGACTAATTACAGTAAATTGGTATTGGTAGGCTGGGGTGCTGCTGTAAAGATACCCAAAATGTGGAAGCAACTGTGGAACTGGATAACAGGCAGAGGTTGGAACAATTTGGAGGGCTCAGAAGAAGACAGGAAAATGTGGGAAAGTTTAGAACCTCCTGGAGACTTGTTGAATACCTTTCACCAAAATGCTGATAACGATATAGACAATGAAATCCAGGCTGAGATGGTCTCAGATGGAGATGAGGAACTAGTTGGGAACTGGAGTAAAGGTGATTTTTGCTATGTTTTAGCAAAAAGACTGGTGACATTTTCCTCCTGCCCTAGAGATTTGTGAAACTTTGAACTTGAGGGAGATGATTTAGGGTATCTGGTGGAAGAAATATCTAAGAAGCAAAGCATTCAAGATGTGACTTGGGTGCTGGTAAAAGCATTCAGTTTTAAAGGTAAACAGAACATAAAAGTTCAGAAAATTTGCAGCCTGATGATATGATAGAAAAGAAAAGCCCATTTCTGAGAAGAAATTCAAGCTGACTGCAGAAATTTGCATAAGTAATGAGGAAGCAAATGTTAATTGCCAAGACAGTGGGGAAAATGTCTCCAGGGCATGTCAGAGACCTCTGCAGCAGCCCATCCCATCACAGGCATGGAGGCCTAGGAGGGAAAAATGGTTTTGTGGGCTGGGACCCGAGCCTCCCCACTATGTGCAGCCTAGGGACTTGGTTCCCTGCATCTCATCTGCTCTAGCCATGGCTAAAAGGGGCCAAGGTACAGCTTGGGCCATGTCTTCAGAGGGTGCAAGCCCCAGGCCTTGGCAACTTCCATGTGGTGTTGAGCCTGCAGGTGCACAGAAGTCAAGAATTGAGTTTTGGAAACCTCCACCTAGATTTCAGAGGATGTACAGAAATGCCTGGGTTTCCAAGTAGAAGTTTTCTGCAGGGGCAGGGCCCTCATGGAGAACTTCTAGGGCAGTACAGAAGGGAAATGGGGGATTGAAGTCCCCATACAGAGTCCCCACTGGGAGACTGCCTAGTGCAGATACATGAAGAGGGCCACCATCCTCCAGACCCCAGAATGGTAGGCCACTGACAGCTTGTACCATGCACCTGGGAAAACTGCAGACACTCAGTGCCAGCTCATGAAAGCATCCAGGAGAGAGGCTGTACCTTGCAAAGCCACAGGGACAGAGCTGCCTGAGACCGTGGGAACCCACCTCTTGCATCAGTGTTACCTGGTTGTGAGACATAGAGTCAAAGGAGATCATCTTTGAGCTTTAAGATTTGACTGCCTTGCTAGATTTCAGACTTGCATGAGGACTGTAGCCCCTTTGTTTTGGCCAGTTTCTCCCACTTGTAACTACTGTATTTACCCAATGCCTGTACCCTCATTGTATCCAGGAAGTAACTAACTTGCTATTGATTTTACAGGTTCATAGGTGGTAGGGGACTTGCCTTGTCTCAGACAAGAATTTAGACTGTGGATTTTTGAGTTAATGCTGAAACAAGTTAAGACTTTGGGGGACTGTTGAGAGGACATGATTTGTTTTGAAATGTGACAACATTAGATATGAGAGGGACCAGAGTGGAATGGTCCCTCCATTGGTGGGGACCATTGGGTGTCTCCATCCAAATCTCATCTTGAATTGTAGCTCCCATAATTACCACATGCTGTGGGAGGAGCTTGGTGGGAGATAATTGAATCATCAAGGTGGGCAGGGGGGCGGTTCCTCCATACTGTTCTCATACTGAATAAGTCTTACGAGATCTGATGGTTTATAAGCAGAGACCCCTTTCACTTGGTTCTCATTCTGTCTTGCCAGCTGCCATGTAAGACGTGCCTTTCAGCTTCCACCATGATTGTGAGGTCTCTCCAGCCACATGTAACTGTGAGTCCATTAAACCTCTTTTTTTTTTTGTAAATTACCCAGCCTCTGGTATGTCTTTATTAGCATCATGAAAACGGACTAATACAGAATATATTCTAAAAATCAATAGCTAAGCAAGAATTTATTGTCATTTTTATTAATACAAGTGTATGTGTCCTATATCTCAATGTTAAACTGTGGATTAGAAAATACAGTTTAAGTTAAAAGGTAAAGTGAGATCCTCTACTCTCTTAAGAGTATTGGAAGGGAGGGAAGGATAACTGAAGGAAAGGATGATGTGCAAATCAGACATGTAATTTACTAACCCAGCCAGCCACATGAATGAGAAGCATATGTCTGCTTCATCTTCACAGGCTTCTGCTTATTGTGAGGACAAATGTCCACCAATCTATCTGATTATCATTTAAATCCAACAGCATGTAAAAAGTCAAAAAACTATGCTACCCAAGGGCATTGATTTAGCACAGCGACTCAAATTCCAATGCATCAAGTTTGCAACCCTTTCTCTTATGGAAAGGAATAAGTATAGGGGTGAACAAAGTGAGAGGTCGAAAGGGCTTGCTTCAAAATTCCTCTGAAGTAGAGGTGTGGTGTGGCACACAACTCTCTTGCCTTTAAACAGAGGCATAAATGGGAGAAGCAGAAATGCTTCACTCTTCCACAGCAGCTAACCAACCCAAGGACTTCAACAGGTACACTGGTGTAGGGAGAGCACTTGGTGTAGCTGTTTCCTAGGCTCATTTTAAGCACCAAGATAATAAAAATTAATTATTGGTTACTAGTCTTTTTAAAGTGAAATCAAGGTTACCAGACATGGGTTTCAAGGAAATCAATGTGTAAAAGAACAATAAAAATAGTAACCAGATGTTTATTACCATTTGTTGTTGAATGGTACAAATAAAGGTTTCCATCTTCCACCTCATGAGTTGGTATAAATCTCCCATATCATAAGATGCCACTCTTTTTTTGTTCCTGAGTTCTATGCCCCAAATTTTAAGCAACTTCTTCACTTCAAGAGAGAGTGGGTGACAATTCCTGATGAATAAGGTCATATTAATTGGTATTTTTATTCTCATTAAAATATAGGATGGTGGCTAACACATAGTATGTACTCAGTTAATGTTTGCTGAATTAATGAGAGGAAGAAATGAATAGTGGTGCAAGAGCTGACTGGAACGGACTGTTGCTGTCTCTGATTGTTAAATAGGATTTTTGAGAGACTAAATATTTAATGGTTGTTATCTTGAAATTCATTATGATGAGTGTATTTGTATCAAATTTTTATCAAGAAAATGGGCAAACACTGTGAAATCAGGGCTTTTCTTTCTTTTTTCTGTTTTTTGAGAGAGCTAGTTGATCAGCATACTACTGCCTATTGCCACCACTTTCACTGCACTCTAATCTTTTCACCTTGGGAGAATCTCACTTCCTGAGAGTTTCAACCTGAAAAATAACTATAGACCCAAACAATGCCTTTTCTTTCCATCTTGCAGGTTCTGGGATAGGCGTCTCGTTACAACTAAAGAAATGTTTGGAATCTTGTTGTAGTAATAGTCTTAATCTGGATTTAGAGACACATGTGTGTAGATACTTTTTCCTCCCAAAACAGCAATAAATACATCTTCATGTAGATTTAAGAAAAGGCTAACATTAGAAAGTTAACCCTGACAAAATAATCTGTACAAGAAACCCCCATGACATACAATTTATTCATGTAGCAAACCTGTGCATGTACCGCTGAACCTAAAATAAAAGTTGGAAGAAAATAAAAGGTTGAGACTTGTCCACTGTAAAGTTAAAAAAAAAATTCTGAAAGAAATCAAAGATCTAAATAAATGAAAAGACAACTAAATTCAAGGATAACACAATTTAATTTTGACAAGATCACAATATTCCACAAATAAATCTGCAGATTCAATGCAATTCCTGTTGAAATCCCATCTGTCTTTTTACAGAAATTGACCGAGCAACCCCAAAATATACATTTAAATGCAAAGAAAGTCAAATAAGCTAATAAATATTAGAAATAAAAACAGTTTTTTGAAAAGTTAACCCTGCTTTCGGAACCCAAGGCAAAAACAAACTCTGGCAAACTAAAAGAATTGATATTACAAATGCACATAAAGATTCCGTGACATACTCTAGATAACAATGATGCTGTTCCCTTTCATGCATAGCAGCTCCAGAGCCTATTTACCCTTGAACAAAAGGCACAAAATTTAAACCTTCGAACACTTTTACCAATATTTCAAAGCCAAGGTCCAAATATATTTAACATTGCCACTTATAAATATTTCTGTGGCTCTCACAAAACATCACTCTGACTAGAGTCTATCTACAAAAAAAAAATAATAACAACAAAAAAAACTTATTAAGTGTCTCACCTTCAATGTACAATGTTTCAAAAGCATTACTTATGTCTCTGGTATTTATTTTAAAAGAATAATTTTCTTAACTCTATGAGAAAATGCTGTCAAATAGGTTGGTTTTGAAAAAGCATTAGTTTCAAAAACCTGGTAATTGTTACTGCTTTCTTCATATCTAAAAGTCTTTATTCTTACACACACACACACACACACACACACACAGACACACACACTAAGACCCAGGTAGATAACTTCGTGAGCATTGGGACTGAACACAATTTCTCGTAAGTAGGTTACTTACAGGTATTGACCCTTATTATTCTTACATATATAATAATAGAAGCAAGTAACTTTATGCTCCTATTGTGTAATGTGCTACTTATTACAGCCATGAATTTCCATTCCTCAGGGGTCAAACACTGAATCTTTCTGAGGAATCCAATTAGTTCCTTCTATAAATTCAATGTAGAGAAATCCCTGAAGACTTTTTGAAATTCATGTAACCCAGAATAAAGAAATAGGTCTGGCCAGGAACGGTGGCTCATGCCTATAATCCCAGCACTTTGGGAGGCCAGGGCGGGTGGATCATCTGAGGTCAGGAGTTCGAGACCAGCCTGGCCAACATGGTGAAACCCCATCTCTACTAAAAATACAAAAATTCGCCGGGGCGTGGTGGTTTGTGCCTATAATCCCAGCTACTTGGGA
The DNA here is from genome assembly GCF_000001405.40 of Homo sapiens. Lineage (NCBI taxonomy): Eukaryota > Metazoa > Chordata > Mammalia > Primates > Hominidae > Homo > Homo sapiens. The sequence continues at coordinate 122,195,521 of NC_000007.14, forward strand.
GGCTGAGGCAAGAGAATCACTTGAACCTGGGAGGCGGAGGTTGTAGTGAGCTGAGATAGCACCATTGCACTCCAGCCTGGGCAACAAGAGTGAAACTCCATCAGAAAGAAAGGAAGAAAGGAACAAAGGAAGAAAGGAAGAAAGAAAGAAAGAAAGAAAGAAAGAAAGAAAGAAAGAAAGAAAGAAAGAAAGAAAGAAAGAAAGAAAGAAAGAAAGAAAGAAAGAGAAAGAAGAAAGAGAGAGAAAGAAAGAAGAAAGAAAAAAGGAAGAAAGAAAGAAAGAAGGAAAGAAAGAAAGAAAAAGAAAGAGAAAGAAATCTGTAAGATGTATCTGATGCAAAATTGAGAAGCAGTTCTAGGTATTCTCCAAACTATCCCTTTCATTCCCTGTGCCCTCTCCAGGTGCAGATTTTTCTAAAACAAGAGCATTTTAAACATTCCTCTTTTGCACAGCCCATTTACAAAGCCTGGAAACATCCCTACAATGATTAGTTGCACTTATCAACTTAGCTAGGTTATGGTCACCAGAAATTCAATCAAACACTAACCTAGATGTTGCTATGACAGTACTGTGTAGATTTGATTAAATTCCATACTCAGTTGACTTTAAGTAAGAGAGATTATCTTAGGAAATCTGAATAGGACTGATTTAATCAGTTGAGCTGTAAGAGTGGAGTTGATGCTTCCTTAATAAAGAAGAAATTCCACCTGTGGACAGCAGATTTTTGCTACCCATGCCTGAGAGTTCAGTCTATCCTAAATATTTTGGACTTGCCACAATCATGTAAACCAATTCCTTGCAATTCCTTGCAATAAACTTCTTAATTTATTAAGGAGTAAATTAAGGAATTTATTTATCAAGGAATAAATTGCAAGGAATTTATTGCAATTCCTTGCAATAAACCTCTTAGTATATATCTCCTCCTGGTTCTGTTTCTCTGGCTGAATGCTGATGAATACAGGCCCAACAATATGTGCATATATTTCCTTTTTTAATTCACAAAAGTAAGATATTTTAATTTCAGTGAATTGAGACTATTCTTTTCCACTCTGACTTGCCCCCTGCCACACCGGTGCAGTAGTGTTTCAGTGGCCACAGATATTCTGAGGATCTTGCTCAGAAGAAGTTGAGTTAGAGATATATTTAGCTTGAGTTTACTAGAATTTATTTATAATTCACAGTCACATCCATGGATAATTATTTCTAGCCACACCTTCCAGAAATATTATTACTATCACTGTGAAAATACACCTGGGTTTTGATTCAAAGTATCTAGAGATCATATCAGAATATGAACATGTCCTAGAGCATCTGGGGCCAGATATATGTGGGTAGTGAAAATTTTAAAAAGTTGAAATGCATGAGCCAGAGCTGGTCAGTGGAAAAGTTTTCCAGTTGTCAGGCATGTAAAATGTAAGCAAAGGAGATGATGATGCTCATGAACGTTTTATGAAAACAAGAACATATTAAATAACACATTGTATGTACAATCATGAATGCACAGTGCAACTTTTTTCTTTTTTGATGGAAATTACATACATAGAATTTATCATAATCTCTATACTTATAGAGTATGAACTTGTAGCGGCACTGTAAATAGTGTCTAAAGTTTCCTATGTTTTGCCTTTCAACAGTCAGTAATAAAAAGGTAAATTTCAATTAATCATGCTAAGGAAATATTGAATTATCATTTCATTCTCTTTCTGCAAAATGTTTCTTATGAAGAAGTGATCACGGGGTCAAAACTCCAGACAAAAAAGTATTTGACAAGTGTGTTAGATAGCTAATGATTATGCAATTTTTCTTGATTTTTGTGACATTTGTTGAATTTACCACCTTTTAAAAATTTGTAACTTGTCATTTCTTTTTCATTCCAGATAGATATTCATTTTTGTGAATATAAAATCATGAATTTATAATTTCAAATTTCTTTCCTTAAAGAGAGCTCTTCAAATTGTATAATTTTTTTTTGAGACAGAGTATTGCTCAGTAGCCCAGGCTGGAGTGCAGTGGTGCCATCTCAGCTCACTGCAAGCTCTGCCTCCTGGGTTCACACCATTCTCCTGCCTCAGCCTCCCGAGTAGCTGGGACTACAGGCGCCCACCACCACGCCTGGATAATTTTTTTTTTATTTTTAGTAGAGACGTGGTTTCACCATGTTCACCAGGATGGTCTCGACCTCCTGACCTCGTGATCCACCCCCCTAGGCCTCCCAAAGTGCTGGGATTACAGGTGTGAGCCACCGCGCCCAGCCCAAATTGTATAATCTTGAATTCTCACAAATTCGAGATCTTCCCACGCACCTCTGTGTGTGTGTTTGTTTTGGTGTCCCTTAACACTTTCCCTGCTTCATCACACTGCCCAGAGCTTCCCACTGGGAACATACTCTCACCTCCTTAATTCCCATTTCCTTTTTCTTACCCAAACAGGAAGGAGTAGCCACTATTCATGCCATTGTCAAAACCTCATGGCAACAAAACTTCCAGGGCTGGAATTGCAAAGATGATTACAAAGGGGAGCTCCACAATCAGGTGATCCAGCATTGATAAGGTGTTTGGACTTGATTATATGAAACGAGATTTCTATAATTACTAGAGCTTGTTCTTTAATATGCATTATTTTAGGGTTATCTTCTCTGCTAGAAATTATAAAACAGTTTGAGCTAAAGACGCAAAGCTAAATAAGCCCCAATGTGTGCTATGTTAATATAACATTCCAAACAACTCACATCTAAAGAATATGAAGATCTGCCATTATTTTAGAATTATGAGATTTTTATAAGAATAAATTTGCCTTGGGCAAATGGCACCAGTAAATGGCACTGATCTAAAAAATAAAAAAAGCAAACATTCTACTATATGTAAAAATCTGAAATGATATCTGCTCTGGTTTGGGGGGAAGGTTGCTGTTTTTTTAAAAAAAATATGATCATGGAGATAATTAAGTGATTAACGGAATATGGTACTGAAAAAGTGTAACCTATTCTAATATGATGAGATAGATCCCCACACAATAGTTTAGGAATCTTATTCTAAGTAATACTTAGGCAATATCTTATTCTAAGTAATGCTTAGGCTTTGCTGCTAATGCTTATTGAAGGGAGTGATGGATCTGAGTATGCTACTTTGTGTGCCATTGAATGTCTGCTCTGAGAAGCAGGAAAGTAAACCCAGCATTGTAGTGATAGTCTTTGGAATGAAGCTCATGGTGAGAACCAAGAGCAACTCCAGTAGGAAAGAAAGGGCAAGGTCAGAAAGGAGATTAAGATCTTGGAAGCAGAGTTGCCCCGGGGTACCTGCTAACTGTTCCTATGTACCTGCTGTGAGCAGACTATTGTATCAGGCATATAGGGAGTTTCAAAAAAATCAGATCCTGCCCTGAGAAAGAAGAACATTACCTTCAAGCAGCATTTACTAAGCTTCTATCTGTGCATATTTTGGGGAATGGCAGTATGCCAAGAAATTTCAACATATATAACCAACACTCAGGGGGTCAAAATCCAAAACAACACCAAAATCCTTGGTTTTCTAAAATGAATTGTGAAACTTCTTCCTCAGTTATTGTCTGCTATGTATCTATAGGAATCGGCTTTCCCTTCTAAAGAAACAGAGACTCCATATTTTGCATGTTTCCTCACACTGTGATGTGTGCAGTGAGAATGCAGAGATGGCTAAGAATGATATTTCCCAATGCTCCTGCACCTACCTGCACATGGCTATCTGACTAATTCTCACCAATGAAACATGAGAGGGAGGGTCCTCCTTTGTGGCCAAGAGTTTTAGGAACCTCATGTAACTTCTCTATCTCTTTTCTCCCTTCCACCAGCTAGAGTCAGATGATTATAAGTCCCTGGAATGATGATGCCACAAGATGGAAGGAGTCTAGCTACATGATTCATTGCATGGGTAAAAGCCAACTAGGAATGTCCTTCCTCAAATTAATATATTACCCAGAGATAAACACTTACTGCCTGGAAAAAAATAGCCTGGCTCTTCTTGTTCCACAGCCAAGCATTATGTAATTCAATGCCCTACATAAAGGAATCTAATACACATTTACTGAATTTAAAATGACAGGCTAAGACAGGCATTTAAGGTGCTGCATAGAATCCCAGGCGCATTCTATCTAATATATTGTAGTTACTTAGAGTGAGAGGGGAAGTGATAGATAGGATGATGTGTAAATTAGGAGCAAGGTTGAAATAAAAAGTAGGAAAATATTCAATGTCTGAGTGTCAAAGAGTCATGTGAGGTGGACAGTTGCAGAGTTGCCGTCTATCATCTATTCCCCATCCTTACAGAAATATCACCACAATTATATTTGATAAGTCCAGATTCTCCCACCTTCAGTAACGTTCCTGGTCTCTTCAGGATATGAAAGTAAAGTTAGAACTGATGCAGTCGTTTCACTTCTGCAAGATAAGGGCCTGTCTGAAAATGACATCAACTTGTGGAATAGAACAATGCCAAGACACAGAGATAGATGATGTTCAGCCCCAGAAGCCAAGTGGATCTGAAGTTAGCACTGCCCTATATGTGTTTCTTATAGTAGACCAATTCCTCTTTGCTTAGGCCAATTGGATTAAGTTTTCTGCCATCCATAACTATAAAAGCTCTAACTAATACATCATAGAAGGTTTTGTGGTATTGATAATATCCTGCCACTTATGGGTGCAGCTAGTATTTGTGTCAGATCCCTCTGATGGTGAGTCAAGGCCATTCCAGTGGAGAGCAAGTTGCTGGAAGCTATAATACTTGAAAATGAAAGTCTGGGGTATGCCAGGACTTTATTCCCCTTCTCCGTAAAATCTCCATTAATTGTTCTTTTCTAAACCATCACAAAATTAAGAAAGATTAAAATTCCTTGATAAGGATATTTTCTCAATTTTATCCTAACTATGCTTACAGTAACTTTCTAAAACTTGGCATCTTAATTACTCTATAACAAACAAGATGAATAAAAATATGTGTGCCATGCACATAAAAATTTCTTTATAGTTCCCTCAGTCCCTGCTTTCCCACACTCTTACCACTCCTATGCTTTTCCCATATAGAAATTCTGAAGCTAAAAGTCAAGTTCCAAAATTCTACTTAATAGAGAGAACCAAAAGCATGACCAGAATGGTTCCTCAGAATCAGGAGGTGAAACCTAACATTCGTACTGAGATTGGAATTCAGACCCAAGGGCCAGGAGTCAGATAAGATAATAACAAGGAGGTGGTTAGTTAAAAAGAGTGAATGGGATGCTGTCTGAATTATTTTGGAAACAGTTACTAGTGACAGCAATCAGGCTTTCACATGATCTTTATGACATGTCTCATTTGTTGCCTAGATCCATTTAAAGGACCTAGGAAATGACCAAACCTGAAGCTTGGATCATTTACTTAAAATTTCTAAAGACACAAGGGTCAGGCTCTATTCACATAGACATTGCCAAACCAAATCCCCAAACTTGTCAGCTTTTTTGTCCCTCTGCCTCTTCATTCTCTAGACTGGGAACTTTACATGAGCACTAACAGGCAGTCTAGTCCTGGTTTAGCACCTCCCCCACCCCACCCCAGACATTGCTGAACAGACATTCCCTCCAACTACCACCTGGTATTTTCACAGAGCAGCTTCAGAAAATCTATTGAGCAAAATAAGGAAGGAGACTTGCTCTAGTTGCAATGTAGGAGGTCACAAGTTTATATTCCATTTATGCCTCCACTAATTCTATTTGTTTTCTTCGCATTAGGTGTTCCAAGATAATGAATACTTCCATAGCAACAAAAGTCTGACAATAAACGGTTACCTTGATTTTCACATTTTCAAAGAAAAATCCCTCAATGGCAACTAGACCAGAAGTCTCAACACTGAATATGCAATAATGGCTACAAGGTGAACAGTTTTTCTATTCCATTTTCTTAGCAACATCATTGATTGATTTTCTTGGAAAGGAAGTTAGATTGGATTAGATGATCTTTTTGTTTCAGTCATGTAGCTTGTTATTAGCAATTAATATATGCAGTAGCTTTTGAAACAACATAAGTAATAAGTGACTTCAGTAGAAATTCATTATATTCTAACACAAATGATTTATAAATGCAATTTTATTTTAAAATTTCTATCCTTTCTGTCTCCCTGATTATAATTGTCAAAGTATTCTGATAGTAGAAAGTGTGTATGACTGAAAAAATGGTATAAAATATTTCAGATATAGTATATATTCTATAGGTTGAATTCAAAAGACTGCTGTCACTGTACATTTTTTCCCTAACAAATCATCTTTTTTCTATGCATAACCTATGGTGAGGCAACATTCTTTACATTGTGTTAAACAAGAAAATACTTTGTAATGAATTAAAGTTAAGGAAAGACTACATCTATCAGCCACAAGGAACTTGAGTTCTGGCAATTTTGAGGGTTTAAGGCTCACAGTTTTAGCAGCTATGTCTGCATAAGGACTTGATTGGATCAAAATAAAGAACACAAACATGAACAAGGGGCTCCCTGAAAATTCAGAGCTTCAATGAGTTCAGCACAAGTCCTAAAAGGACATCTCCCTAAACATTGACATTAAACGTTTTTGCACTGGCTTGACTGGGTATAACTTTAAAATGAAATACTAAGTGAAATACCTGTATAATGAAAACTATAAAACACTGACAAAAGAAATTGAAGGGGACACCAAAAAATGGAAAAAATTCCATGTTTATGAATTAGAAGAATCAATATTATTAAAATGTTCATATTACCCAAAACAATTTAGAGATTCAATGCACCCTCTATCAAAATACCAACGACATTTGTATCAATCACAGTCCTCTAGAGGGACAGAATATGATATATATGTACATATATCCTATTATATATGTGTGTCTATATCCCATTATATGTATACTGTTATATATATCCTATTTTTTATATATATCCTATTATATATAGAACTAATAGGCTATATATATCCTATTATATATGTGTGTATATATATCCTATTATATATAATATATATCCTATTTTGTATATGTAGAATAGGATATATATTTATACGATATATATATATCATTCTATATATATATAATCAAATATATATATATATATATATATATATATATATATATGTATATATGAAGGGGAGTTTATTGAGGAGCATTAACTCATACAATCACAAGGTCCCATAATAGGGCATCTGCAAGCTGAGAAGCAATGATGCCAGTCCAAGTTCCAAAGCTGAAGAATTTGAAGTCTGATGTTTGAGGGCAGGAAGCATCTAGCATGGAGAAAGATATAGGCTGGGAGGCTAAGCCAGTCTAGTCTTTTCACATTCTTCCGCCTGCTTTTATTCTGGCCATGCCAGCAGTTGATTGAATTGTGCCCACCCAGATTAAGGGTGGGTATGCCCTTCCCACACCACTGACTCAAATGTTAATCTCCTTTAGCAACACCCTCACAGACACACCCAGGACCAATACTTTACATTCTTCAATCCAATCAAGTTGACACTCAGTATTAACTATTACAAGTCCACCCCTTATCAACTTGAACCCATACACATCTCCTAAGATCATACATAATCTTCAAATAAAGACAATAATAAGGTCGTAATTATGCCTAACACAATACAACTATCTTTCACGCAACCAGAAGCACACCAATTCCCAACCCAAATGTTATTACATAAAGTTAACAACACTTAAATGCTGATATGAAGTCAATAAATATTATGTCACGTTAAAGGAAAAAGGAAATAAAATGAAGATATTTTCTTAGTACAAGTGTATGCATGCACAAACATGTTTTTAACAAAAGAAGGAGGAAATACTCATGACAATTACAGTCCTTGTTTCTGCAATTGGTCATGTGGTTGTAGGCTGGTATTGATAACTACCTTCTTCTACTACCCATTCTGTATTCCGTTTGCCTTCAGCAAGCACCTCAGCAGGTCATGGTTTTTTCCCTGGTGAAGTGACCCAAACCTTCATTCCTGAAGGATCTGGACCCTTTGTAGTCCTGCCTGGATTGGACTATTGTAGTTTCCCATTGACCTTCATCACAGGGCATAGTAATACTAAGAGATGCCCTAAAGCATCTTCTGTATTACACATACACTCTTCCTTACTTCCATTGTGGAGTAGTAGACTGATTTCATCTTGATAGTCCAGATCAGTCACCCCAGCCAACACTGCAACTCCCTTCTTAGCATGTTGGCTTAAAGGTAAGAGGAGCTCAAAGTGTCCAGGTGGCAATCTT